>NC_000010.11:87264307-87415822 GCF_000001405.40 Homo sapiens | reverse complement strand
GAGTTGGAGCTGGATTTGAGTTGTTAATATATAGGTATGAATGTGTGTGTGTATATGTATGTATATATGTATATGTATATGTGGATTCTAGAGGTCTAGAACTGAAATTGTTTGGACAAAGGATATAGATTTTTACCAAGTGTTTATTTAATTGCATTCTAACAAAATAATATTCTTATAAGTGTATGAGAAAGCCCTTCTCCCCTATATTTGCTTGGAAGATTACCAATTGTATTGACCTTTCCTAATTTAATAGATAACATAACTACTATAATAAAATTTTTATTGATGTACTTACAGATTAAACAGTTTTCATATTTTTTATGTTTTTGTAAATTGTCTCTCATAGCTATTGCCATTCCTCACCTTTTTAAATGTTTATTAATTTGTAAAAATTCTCTTAAGGACATCAACCCTTGAAGTAAATGTTGCAAATATTTCCCAATGCATATTATTGTCTTTTAGCTTTGTTTATAATGAATTTTTACATTTTTAACTATAAGACTCACAAATATTTGTTGCATCAAACTTATTTATGATTTCCACGTTGGTCATTTTTCAATAGGCCTTCTCACCCCCAAATTATTATTATTTTAATAATGGTCTTTAAAAATATCAAATAACATATGTATTAGCTATTAAGTACAGTTAGACTTTTTTTACTAATATAATAAAAAGTTGCAAAATGATAAATAATAAAGTAATGGATGATTGTACAATGTTATGCCAATTTTCCATAATGTTGTTCTAATATTATAATTTGCTTTCTGTCATACAGAATGTAATTTTACTTACAGTACAAATTTTAGATAAGAGTAGATTCGAGTGAATGAAGCCTGGATGAACAGTGTGATACTGTACCTAAACACAGGTTCTGTGCATTTTAAGAATCATTGCAGACATTTGAATACTGGCATATCTTTGTTCTATTTAAATAAAATTAATATATCTATAAATTTAGCTTATATTTTTTCTTTTATTTTTATTTATACACATATGTATATAATATGACTACAAACAGTCAAAATAATATAATCAGTTCCCACATACACACCATTTAGTACAAAGGATAAACATTATCTGTACCATTCAAGTACTCTGTGCACCCTGTCTTAATTGATTTTACCTTCTTCCCCCTCAAAATATTATCTTGATTTTCTCTAACCTGTTATCTTAAACAGGTCTTGAAAAAACTGTGGCTGGGCACACTGGTACACCTGCAATTCCAGCTACTCAGAAAGCTAAGCCAGATTGCTTCAGGCCAGTAGTTTGAAGACAAAAAGTGCTGTGGAAAATGTTGGCTAGGCAAAGGGGTTTGGGAATACTAGGGAAAATGTTAGACTGCTAAATGGGTGGTTCTGACAGGCTTCATTCATTTTTAACTTTTAAGTTCAGGGGTACAAGTGCAGGTTCATTACATAGGTAAACTTGTATCATGGTGGTTTGTTGTACAGATTATTTCATCACCCCAGTATTAAGCCTAGTAACCACTAGTTATTCTTTTTTATCTTCTCCCTCCTCCAGTTCTCCACCCTCCAAAAAGCCCCAGTGTGTGTTGTCCCCCACTCTATGTGTCCGTGTGTTCTAATCATTTAGCTCCCACCTATGAGTGAGAACATGCAGTGTTTGATCTTCTGTTCCTGTGTTAGTTTGCTAAGGATAATGGTCTCTAACTAGATCCACATCCCTGCAAAGAACAAGATCTTGTTCTTTTTTTATGGCTGCATAGTATTCCATGGTGTTTATATACCACATTTTCTTTATCCAGCAGACCACTGATGGGCATTTAGGTTGATTCCATGTCTTTGCTTAGAGAAGGAAATAAAAGGGTGTTCCAGAGGGAATAGCCAGTGCCAAGCTCTGGTTCAGGAGTGTGGCTGGTATCCTCTAAAATTGCAAGCAGTTATAATGGAGAGTTCTTGCTTAAAGTGTGGTTTATGTTCACCCATCTGGGACTATACTTTTGAAGTCTATACTTTTGGAAGGATAGATGTTTGATGTTTTTTCTTTTTTCTTTTAAAACTAGTAAGTCATTTTTGTTCAGTTTTTTTAAGTGTCTTTATTTTATATATTCAAAAGTAAGTTGATAATGCTTTCTTGTGCTCATTATGGCTTAAATTTCTACTATGTTTATAAGTGCTAACCCTCTTTTCATCACCATCTTGTGTCTTTTGATCTATCTCCTTCTTTTTCTCTTTACTTGGTAAACAATCTGGCTGGAAATTTGTCTATTTAACTATGGTTTTTAAAGAATCAGCTTTATTTTTTATTGTACTACTTCCTTCTTTCTCTTTGATATATTTTTACTTCATTATAATTTACACTTATTTTGTGTGTTTATGTTTATATTTCTTATATAATTCCAGCTTTTGCTGTATTCAACAGTCTTCCTTTTTATGTGTAATTTTTCACTGTCATTAAGTTCTAAATAAAGTATAACTTCTATTTTTATTTTTCTTTGAGTCATAAATTACATGCAAGCTTCTGTTTAAGTTTGCAAACAACAGCATTATCTGGCTGCCTCTTTTTATTGGGTTCTTTCTTACATTTGGGTCAGAAAACATAGTCAGTCTAAAACAGTTTTCTTGACCTCTAAACATTTTGCTAAATTCACTTATTCAGAATTTTCTGCTAATCAGAATATTATGTAACATAATCAGAACATACCACATTACACTCTGATAATCAATTCACTACAAAGATATTGTCCCTTATGTATTAAAATTTGTTCATTTTTTGGAAAATATTCTCAGAAATATTTTTCAAGAACACTTACCGTTAACATTTTACAAAATTTAAAAATGCAAGTAAATTTATGCCTAATCGTACATTAAGTATGATTTTATAAGTGGCATATAAACAGATTGATAATTTCTTTCCTAGAGTGTAGAGATGCCCTATGCACTGCAAGACAGTCAAGGGAAGGGGTTGGTTTGGTTTAGGATGCGTGATAAAGCATCTCATGAAGTGTCTGTATGCTCAGTTTTAGAAAATAGATCCCATTTCTAAAAACTGGACTCAATGACTACATTATTAAATTGTTTCAATGCTGTATTCCACTATCTGTAGCATTCTATAGAATGTTTACTTAACATCTTTGGAATAATCATTAAGTAAACAAAAACTGTCCCCTCTTCCCCAAAACTTTCTTTTACTCCCATGCTTATCCACTGTCATCAAATTACCATATCTGACAGAAATAATTTTAATTTCACCATCAATTGCTAGGATATTAATTTAGACTACAAATAGCTGCATATAAACATAAATGAAAAAATATTTTTCCACTCGTTGTTGAAACAGTGGGAGTCCTGAATGATTTGATAGCTGTACAATTAATCAAATAATAGACTACTGGATTAAATCTGAGTGAACTAAAAATATCTGTGCATAGCTGTAAACAAAATTAAATTAATATCCTCAGTACCTCTTATGCCTTTAATGCTATCAGGATCAGTAGATGTGATTTTAAATGACCATTCATATAAATAGGAATACACGTAAAATTTAAAAATACTAAGTGAATTTATACCTAATTGTACTACATTATTAAGTGTGATTTTCTGAGTGTTACTCCTAACCAGTAGCAAATATGTTATATATATGAGATATATGATATGTGTATATATGATATATGATATATATGTTATGATATATATATGATATGTGATATATATGTTACTGGGTAGGAGGTACAGTAGCAAGTTTTCTTTCTTAAAAGAATGGTATACTCTGGGTCTAAGAATGACAAACAGATGATGTGGTGGGCACTTACCAGAGTATTTTATTTATACTGATCTGTACCCCTAGAATATTCTAAAATGAGGATGTATGAGATATATAATACTTTTTATTCTATTTTTCTGAGTTTTCCCTCCCAGTTAGGTTTTCGGAATACAAACATGGAGCAGTTACATGACATAAGGGCAAATAGTATAAGAATTATTACACTTTATTCATTTGTATCTTGTATACTTCCTCTATTGGGTAAATGGATAGATGCAATGAACTGCTAAATAATACTTGTTGAATCCAACCTGAATGAAAACAAAATCTTATGCCTATCGAAAAGCATACAATGTTTGTAGTAGGGAGAAAGGAATCTGATAGATGTCTGATATTTAAATGTAAAAATGTTGGCCGGGCACTGTGGCTCACGCCTGTAATCCCAGCACTATTGGAGTCCGAGGCACAGGCAGATCATCTGAGGTCAGGAGTTC
This sequence comes from Homo sapiens, assembly GCF_000001405.40. Lineage (NCBI taxonomy): Eukaryota > Metazoa > Chordata > Mammalia > Primates > Hominidae > Homo > Homo sapiens. Next base: position 87,411,602 of record NC_000010.11, on the reverse strand, counting down.
AAAACCAGCCTGGCCAATTTGGTGAAACCCCGTCTCTAATAAAATACAAAAATTGGCCAGGCGTGGTGTTGCCTGCCTGTAGTCCCAGCTACTTGGGAGGCTGGAGCAGGAGAATCACTTGAACCCAGGAAGTGGAGGTTGTAGTGAGCTGAGACTGTGCCACTGTGCTTCAGCCTAGGTGACAGAGCAAGACTCCGTCTCAAAAAAAAAAAAAAGTAAGAACATTATATGCTAACGTGAATGAAATATAAACAATTTTTAATTTTATATTATATACAATGGCAGATCATAGCTGCACCTGTAAGAGAAGATCAAATTAAAATCGGTTATCTGTTTGTTTATTCTCTTATCAGTGCCTGGCTTTCTAGAAAAATTTAGCGATTTTCATGGAATTCTCTGATAAACATTATGAACTCATTGCTTTCTATAATATGTTGGTAATATTGGCCATATATAATAATTTAGAACCTCTTATTCTCCTTTATTTTTCTCAGAGCAGTCATTGCCATTTGACATGTTATATTTTATTTTTGTTAGTTTCCTATTTTACCATACAGCTAATTAAAATGAACTTTTCGTTAATTCAATTACTGTTCTTTTCACTGTTATAGCCCAAGTATCTAAAACAGTGTCTAGCACTAAGTAGTCACCAGGTAAGTCTTTGCTGAGTGAATAAATCTTAGGAGGAAAGGAGAGAGAAAATCTAGATCCTTTATAGTATCCATGGTTTTCTACAAACAGCTAGAATGTAATATTTTATTATTTTGCACCATGTAAGTTAGAATCATTGTGGAACATCACATTTATGCAATTCTTATTAGACTATATCTAGATCTCTTTTAAAATAAGCAAGCAAGCAAACAAACAAACAGCAATGAAGATACGCTGAAGAAGTTTTGGGAGGAGGACCTACATCTTTACAGTTTCACCCCCAACTTACCCATACCCTCCTTCAATGAATTCCTAGGGCTTCTTAGAAAATAGTGGATGCAATTCAGGAAGTGTTTGTTTTAAAACACCAAGAATGATGACTGTCCAAATTCAGAATGTGTTCATGTATTCCATAGACAATGACTGAATATCTACTAGGTTCTGAAAAATGTACTAGTTGCTGCGGTGGATAAAATAATAATACACTGTAAGACAGTCAGGGGAAGAGGTTGGTTTGGTTTAGGATGCATGATAAGATATCTCATGAAGTATCTATATACTCAATTTTAGAAAATGGATCCCATTCTTAAAAACTGGATTCATTGATGGCATTATCAAATTGTTTCAATGTTAAATTTCACTATCTATAGTGTTGGAATATTAGTCCAGTAACAATATGAAACCAAAGATACATCACTATCCAGTAAGGCAGTTTATATTATTACCACATAGTACAATGTGTTAACAGAGATCAAAGATAAATGAACACTTCCAACATAAAATGTATAATAATTTACTTCAGGTAACATATTTTTAAATTATGGGTATAATTATGGGCATAATCATAATTACTACTTAGAAATGTATTATGTGTATCATTTAGCGTTTTATATATAACATTTTGAATTTTTAAAATATTTATGGGTCCTTGTTGTTAAGATGAAGTGGTGTTCCAGAAATAGTTGATTGTAGATTTGTTGCACGTAAAACAGAGAAATCCAGCATTTATAGGTAACACCACAGTTAAGAGGAAAGAAAACTAAGAAAATTACAGTAGAATGCTTTTGTGAGGAAAAAATGAAATGTCAAAGATAAAATTTTTATGGTTCTTTAATCACAATCATCAAATTGTAACAAATGGAACTTTAAAATTGAATTTGTCTCTTTGTGTGAATTACACCTGAGATTATACCTGCACACCAAGTGAAGAATCATATTTCATAATGCATTTCATTTGGCTTTTAACACAGTTATTCTGTTGAAGACATTTCTGTAAAGCTTTCCAGATACAGGAAAAGCAATTTAATAAACACTATGATCAAATAACTACTCAATTGTTCTTCATCTTTTTTAACTTTTAACACCTTGCAGATCATTCCTAGAATAAAGTGTGTTATCCCCTTTTCACAATGATTCATTAACCTGTATTAATTGTTCTTTACAAAGTTGTTTTTATATATCTTACTAACTACCAATGTGAGGAAAAGGTCTATGTTGCTTTCATTCAGTAGAAAACACATGCACTTTAATAATATTGTTTCTTAAAAAACACCTATTGGTTTGTTTTCTTTCAGTTTCTCATTTATCATCATTTGTTCATCTTCACTGAAAGCTGAACATATGCAGCCTAACAACAACTTGAATTAATTGAATATGTTTCGTATCTATTCTCCAAATTAAATTTTCAGTTTTGCTCACCTTTTCATGATTATATTAAGAAAATGTAGCCATAATTGCTTGTATAGGAAAAATTACTGAGAAAGACATTCAGATTAAATGTAGGAAATGCTCTAAGGATCTTTGAAAGGAAAGAAATGTCAGGTTCTATATTGTATTCAAGGAAGATAGGAGATGAAAGTGTCAGATATGCAAGGCAGATAAGAAAATCATTTTTAAAAATAAGTCATAGACATTCTTTTTCTGATAGTTATTGAAAAATCCTGTTCATCAAAAGATATCTTAAATCAATAAAGATTTCCTCAACCACCAGATAAAATTGTTCTCTGTGTGTGTATGTCTTATTGGAACTGTAATTATATTTACAATACTATAATTAGTCGTATTATTAACTCTCGTTACTCACTAGAACATTATTGGTAATAAGCAGTGACATATCTTAAAGATTTTTCTTGTGTCCCAGCGTCTGCCTAGTGATTAATATGTTAAGCTCCATAAATGTTTATTCAACGAGTAAATTAGTGACTAGGTACTAAGTTCTTATTCTTGTGTACAGTCACCTATAAAATCTTTCCACTCTTCTCTGGGCAATTGGGGAAGCTATGTATAGAAAATGGAAGAGTCTCTGTCAGCCTGGGTTACTAAGGGTGGACCTGAACTTTCTCTGAGTGAAAAAAAAATCTATTTTACTGAGCCACAGAGATTTGGATATTCATATTTTATAGCAGTATTAACTAATACAAGGTATTTTTAACCTTTAAAAGAAAAGAAGAAAAAGTAGAAGTGATACTAATTTCCCAGATGCCATCCAACTCCTCTTTCACCAATAGACAGCATTGAAAGGCGGGAATCAGTGCCTCCTCCTAGTGATAGTGCCTCAATTGAGCAGGGCTTATTCCGAGCTCAGTATGCAACATCCCGACAGGGCAAATCTAGGTATTGCTCTCAAGTCACTATCCAACATCCCGATGGGTTGAATGGCATGCCAAACACAGCAATAAGCAATATAAAAAAGCCAGGCCGCCCCGGGGTGGGGCCACGTGGCTTCAGACCAGAGAGCGGAGCTACCTTGGCCCAAGCGCTGCAGCTGCCTGAACCCCCGGGCTTCGCAGCCTTGCTTGTTTTCTCTGAACCGCAATAGGATGGTGTTCGCAGCGATTCAAAGGGTGGCACTGGGTTGGACGTTTTGGTTACGAGCCAGCCTATTCCCACATTGTACGTGAATGTTTAATGTGCTCTCAAAACATGGAAAATAAGTTTAGTGCACATAGCTAAATCACAAAACATCCAATTTCTCTGTTTCCTCAGGAAGTCATTACTGCGCCACCACATCACGTGACCTTAACATGAGCAATGTATTTCTCTGCCTTGACATTTAAATAAACTATATAAATTAAGATAAGTAGATTAGGAAATCGTTCAAATTATACCATAATCTGTACAAATATTGTGTCCCCTGCCAGGCAAGGGACAGGGTGCGGGCGACGGCCGCGTGGCCAAGGCCCCGCAGGAAAGCGCCCAGGTCTCCCTCACTCTCCAGGTGCCCTTTGCACCCAACAGTGCGTGTGAGGAACGAACTGCTGTTTGAGCCTCCCCTGAGATTGTGCGTAGCCTCCGTGTAAATGTAATAGCCTCCATGGCTTAATTGGCTATCAAGCGAATTTTCACAGATGAAAGCAATGTTAGGTTAGGGGACGACGGTGCAGCCACCCAGCCTTTACCAGCAGCGTGCTGCAGACGAAGGCAGTCAAGGTGTGGAGGTGATCATGCAGGTACATGTTTTTGACTGTTTAATTTGAAAGTTCACATTTTTTATGCTTTGTGTTGATGTGTAATTTTTGTACTCTTGGTGTCTAGTTTTTGTCAAATCTTTTTTGGAATATTGCTTAAATGTTTTGATTTTATGATAGTGAAGCTTGTATTCGATGTTTTGCCAATTAATATTTTATCCTAGTAAAAAAAGCAAAATAGAAAAAAAAAGATCTTAGTCTGTTTCTAAGGCCCAGACCACACAAAGTATCCATTTTCCTCTCTTGTCTATAAAACAAAACTCACCTTATCAACAGTTTCTGTTCTACCCAAAGATGTTAAATAAAGTCCAAAGTAGTGGGATGGGGGAAGTGATGTTTTATTGTCTGTGGCACGTGTGTTCCTAGGACCTATAAAAAGGAAAGCAGGTAAATGACTTTGATCTGTTTGATAAATGATTTTTATCTTGAGTAGTGTAATCACTTAAATATGTTGATCCTCCGTCTGGGTGGAAATTATTTCAATACCATGTTGTTTTTGTTATTATTAACTATATATATTATTATGTATATAATAATACATAAAAGTTATTAGGAATGAAATAAAAAATTATTGAAATCCTAACACACAGTTGTAGCTATTTTTCATTCATGTATTTATTAAATATTATTAAATTATTCACCACATAATAAATAGTAAAGCATTTTCCACATAATCATATCTACCATTTTATTCATGGAAATCATTTTATTTGATTATTTAATTTTTATTTTAGATTAAGCATGCATGTGTACATTTGTTACATGAACATATTGCATGATGCTGAGGTTTGGGCTTCTATTGAACTTATTATCTGAATAGTAAACATAGTACCCAATAAGTAGCTTTTCAAACCTTGCCCTCCTTCCTTCCCCTGTTTTGGAGGCCCCAGTGTCTGTTATTTCCATCCTTTTGCTCCTGTGTACCCAAAGTTTAGCTCTCACCTATAAGTGAGGACATGCGGTATTTGGTTTTCTGTTTACATCTTAATTCATTTAGGATGATGGCATCCAGGCACATCTATGTTACTGCAAAGGAAAGGATTTCATTCTTTCTTCTGGCTACATAGTATTCCATGGTGTATATGCATCATAGTTTCTTTATCCAATCCACCATTGTTGGAAACCAATGTTGATTCCATGTCTTTGCTATTTCATATTTGCAATATAACATGCAAGTGTGCAGAAGCTCTTTAGTTTAATTTGGTCTCACTTGTCAACTTTTGTTTTTGTTGCTTTTGTGTTTTAGTACTTAGTCATAAATTCTTTGCATAGGCCAATATCCAAAAGAGCTTCTTAGGTCTAATTCTAGGCTTCTTATAGTTTAAAGTTTTACATTTAAGTCTTTAATCAATCTTGAGTTAATTTTTTTATATGGTGAGAGACAGGAGTCTAATTTCATTCTTCCGAATATGGTTAGCCAGTTTTCCCAGCACCATTAATTGAATAGGGTATCCTTGCCCCATTGTATTTTTATCAATTTTGTTAAAGATCAGTTGGTTGTAGGTATGGGACTTCATTTCTGGATTCTCTATTTTGTTCCATTGGTCTATGTGTCTATTTTTGTACCCAAACCATGCTATTTTGGTTATTGTAGCCTCGTAGTATAGTTTGAAGTCAGGTAATGTGTTGCCCCTGCCTTTGTTCTTTTAGCTTAAGATTGCTTTGGCTATTCAGGCTCTTTTTTAGTTAAATACAAATTTTAGAATTGATTTTCTAATTCTGTGTAAAAATAACTTTGGCAGTTTGATAGGAACTGCACTGAATTTGTAGATTGCTTTGGGCAGTAAAGACATTTTAATGATGTTGATTCTTCCAATCCATAAGCATGTAATATTTTTCCATTTGTTTGTGTCATCTATGATTTCATTCAGCAGTGTTTTGTAGTTCTACTTAAAGAGATCTTTTACCTCCTTGGATAGAGGTATTCCTAAGTATTTCTTTTTTTTTTTCTGTGGCTCTTGTAAATGGGATTGTGTTCTTGATTTGGTTCTCAGTTTGAATATTGCATTGTATAGAAATACTACTGCTTTTTGTATATTGATTTCTTATCTTAAAACTTTACTGAAATTTTTAATCAACTCTAGGAGTCTTTGGTCAGAATCATTAGGGTTTTCTAGGTATAGAATCCTATCATCAGTGAAGAAATAAAATTTAATTTCCTCTTTTCCTATTTGGATTCCTTTTGTTTCTTGCTTTTGTCTGATCATTCTGGCTAGGGCTTCCAGTACTAAGTTGAATAAGAATGGTGAAAGTGGATATTCTTGTATTGTTCTTGTTCTTATGGGAATTCTTCCAACTTTTGCCTGTTTAGTATAATGTAGACTAGGTTTGTCAATAGATGGTTCTTATTATTTTAGGTATGTTCTTTGAATGCCTAGTCTATTGAGGGTTTTAATTATGAAGGCATGTTGGAGTTTATCAAATGTTTTACCTGCATCTGTGGAGATAATCTTATGTTTTTTTTTTTCATTTTAAATTCTGTTTATGTGGTGAATCACATTAACTGATTTGTATATATTTGAACAACCCTTACATCCCAGGAATAAAGTTCACTTGATATTGTATTATCTTTTTGATGTGCTGCTGAATGTGGTTTGCAAGTACTTTGTTGAGGATTTTTTTCAACTATGTTCATCAGATATATTGGCCTAGGGTTTTGTTTTTTGTGTGAGTATTTGCCATATTTTGGTATCATGATGATATAGGTTTTGTAGAGTAAGTCAGAGGAGAATCTCTCGTCCTCGATTTTTTGGAATAGTTTCAGTAGGATTGGCATGAGCTCCCCTTTGTGTGTCTGGTAGAATTCAGCTATGAATTCATCTAGTCCCAGGCTTCTATTACTTATTCAATTCATTCTGTAATTCATTGTTGGTCTGTTCAGTGTTTCAGGTTCTTCCTGGTTCAATCTTGGGAGGTTGTGTGTTTCCAGGAATGTATTCATTTCTTCTAGATTATCTAGTTGTGCACATAGAAATGTTCATAGTAGTCTCTGAGAATCTTTTGAATCTCTGTGGGACTCGAGTGAATGTCGCCTTTGTTATGGCTGATTGTGCTTATTTGGATCTTTTTTGTTAATCTTGCTTGCAGTCTATCAATTTTGTTTACACTTTCAAAGAACCAACTTTTCATTTTGTTGATCCTTTGTGTGGATTTTTGAGTCTCAATTTTATTCAGTCCTGTTCTTATTTTTGTTATTTCTTTTCTTATGCTATATTTGGATATAGTTTTTTTTCTTGTTTTACTACTTGCTTTAGGTGCAATGTTAGGTTGTTAATTTGAGATATTTCTATCTTTTTGATGTAGGTATTTAGCACTATAATCTTTCCTTTTTAAACTGCCATTATTGCATCCCAGAGGTTTTTGTTCATTGTGTCTCTATTTTCATTTGTTTAAAAAATTCTTGGATTTCTGCTTTAATTTTATTGTTTACCCAAACAAAAGTCATTCAAGAGTAATTTCTTTAGTTTCCGTGTGTGTTTGTGTGTGCGTGTCTGTGTTTTAGAGTTCCTCTTGCTATTGATTTCTATTTTTATTCTACTGCGGTCCAAGAAGATGCTTGATATTATCTGATTTTTTTTATTTCTTGACACTTGCTTTATAACTGCATATGTGATCACTCTTAGAGTATGTTCCATGTGAAGATGGGAAATATATATGTATATTGTGGTTGTTGGGTAGAGTATTCTGTAGATGTCTATTAGGTTCAATTGGTCAAGTGGCAAATTTAAGTCCAGAATTTATTTGTTTAGATTTCTGCCTCAATAATCTATCTACCACTGTCAGTGGAGTGTTGAAGTTCCCAGTTATTACTGAGGGGCTGTCTACCTCTTAGGTCTAGTAGTGATTTCTTTATGTATCGTGATGCTCCAATTAATGTTGGGTGCATATTTATTTAAGATAGTTAATTATTCTTATTGAATTGAGCCCTTTGTCATTATGCAATAACTTTTTTTGTCCTTGTTTCTGTTTTTGGCTGAAGATCTGTTTTCTCTGACATGAGAATAGAAACTCCTGCTCTTTTTTGTTTTCCATTTGCATGATTAATCTTTCTCTATCCCTTTACTTTGAACCCATGAGTGTCATTACTTGTGAGATGGGTCTCTTGAAGACAGCAGATGGGTGATTCTGATTTTTTTATTCCAATTTGCCACTCTATGTCTTTTAAGTGGAGGATTTAGGCCATTTATGTTCAAGGTTAACATTGATATGTGAGATTGTGTTCCTGTCATAGTTTTGTTAGCTAGTTTCTTTGCAGTCTCAATTGTGTAGTTGCTTTATAGAGTCTGTGGACTATGTACTTAACTGTGCTTTTTCTGTGTATTGTTCTTTCATGTCCACATTTAGAACTCCCTTAAGCATTTCTGCAGGGCTAGTCTGGTGGTGATAAATTCCCTTACCGATTGCTTGACTCAGAAAGACTCAATTTCTCCTTCGTTTATGAAGCTTAGTTTTGAAGAATATGAATGTTTATGCTGGAATGTCATTCCTTTTAGAGTACTAAAAATAGACCTCTAATCTCTGCTGGATTGTAAGGTTTCTTCTGAGAAGTCCACTGTTAGTCTGATGGGTTCCCTTTGTAGGTAGTGTTGCTCTTTTCTCTAGCTGTGTCTGAGATTTGTTTTTTCTTTTGTGTTAACTTTAGATAGTCTAACGACTATGTGTCTTGGGGATGGCTGTCTTTATAGTATATAACAGGGGTTCTCTGGATTTCTGGTGTATGCATGTCAACATCTCTAGCAAAATTGAGAATATTTTCTTGAATTTTTTCCTCAGATATGTTTTCCAAGTTGGTTACTCTTTCTTTCCTCTCAGGAATACCAATACGTGGTAGAATTGGTTTCTTTACATGATCCCATATTTCTTGAAGGCTTTGTCTTTTTAAAAAATATTTTTTCTTTATTTTTGCATGACTGGGTTAATTTGAAGAATCAGTCTTCAAGCTTTGAAATGTTTCCTTCTGCTTGGCCTAGTCTGTTTTTAAGTCTCCCAACTATATTTTGAAATTTATTTAGTGAATTTTTCAGTTCCAGAACTTCAGTTTGGCTCTTTCTTAATATAACTATGTTGTCTTTCAAATCTTGGACTGTTTTTCTGGTTTCTTTGCATTGGATTTCTATTTTGTCTTATGTCTCATTGACTTTCCTTGACATCCATCTTCTGAGTTCTATGTGTCTCATTTCAGACATTTACATCTGGTCAGGATCCTTTCCTAGGGAGCTAGTGAGAGGCTTTGGAGATCACAAAACACTCTGGCTCTGTGTATTGCCAGACTTCTTGTGCTTATTCCTTTCCATCTGCGGGAGTTGACACTTCTTTTTTGAATTTGATTCATTTAGATGGGGTTTGTATTAGTCAGAGTTCTCTATAGGTACCGAAGTAATAGGATAGATGTACATTTGAAGGGGAGTTTATTAAGGATCATTGACTCACATGATCACAAGGTAAAGTCCCACAATAAGCCATCTGCAAGCTGAGGAGCAGGGAAGCCAGTTCGAGTCCCAAAACCTCAAAAGTAGGGAAGCTGACAGTGCAGCCTTCAGTCTGTGGCTGAAGGCCCGAGAGCCCCTGGCAAACCACTGGTGTAAGTCCAAGAGTCCAAAAGCTGAAGAACTGGAAGCATCCAGCACAGGATAAAGATGAAAGCCAGGAGACTCAGCAAGTCTGCTCTTCTGCCTTCTCCTGCCTGCTTTGTCCTAGCCATGCTGGCAGCTGATTAGATGGTGCCCACCCAGATTGAGGGTGGTTCTGCCTCTCCTAGTCCAGACTCAAATGTTAATCTCCTTTGGCAACACCCTCCAAACACACCCGGGAACAATATTTTGCACCCTTTAATACAATCAAGTTGACACTCAGTATTAACCATCACAGGGCTTTTATATTTTTTATTCTCTTTGAAAGTATGACTGTGGTGTATGTGATTGATTGGCTTCATTTCTGGGTAGTTGCAGACGGTGAAGTTTCCATATATGTTCCTTGGTTACAGATAGGTTGCTGCAGTGGCTTTCACAGATGTTGCTTGTTTTAGCAATGTATTTTTATATGATGGTATAACTCAAACTTCAATCTGGTAGATGGACTTAAGAGTAAGAGCTGGCAGGTGGGGTCTTGGTGCATGCTTGCCCTCACTGGAGAATCATGAGAAACAACTTCTTTCAGTGCATGCTTTCTGGGCCCCTATGGGAAGAGCTATTTTTGCATCTGCAACAGTGCACTGGGGAGGGGAGATGGAGGTGAGACATAATTCCTTCTCCAAGTCTGGTTCTGGGCCTTGGTGGTGCTCCTTTCAGTGGCTTATGCCATGGTCGCATTTTCTTTGTCTCATGTTGTGCTTTGGCAGGCTGCACTCCCCCTTCCCCTAGGGATGGTCCACACTGAGGATTACATCTCTAGGGACACACAACTCTCCAGAGACCCACCAGTCCACTGTGCTTACCAAAGTCAGAGCAGGTTTTAGGGTATGTCTGCAGTTGCTCTGATGATGCAGTATTTCAAGGGTAGAGGATCTCCAGGCAGGGCAGTGGCACAATGGGTGCAACACCAGTATGGAGTCTGCAGCCCATGATTTTCAGCCCAGCAGGCAACCATGGAGTCTGCCTAGCTTACACTCCCCTGACCCAGCAGATCTCCCACAGACACTCGCCCTGGCGGCAAGCCCAACCAACTAGGCTTTCCCCAAGCTATCTGCTCCCACATTGTTGAGCTGCTCCAGGCATTCTGTGCAAGGACACTCCCTGGGAAAGAAGCTACCACCATCAGGCCATACCCTTCATGGTCTGGTCTTGCAAAGGGAGGGGCGTCCAGCTCCCATGCCCCCATGAGAACCCATACCACACCCTTCTCTGCATTCTGACTATGGAGGATCCTCCTTCACTTGAGATTAGGTTACAAATCTCAGCTCAATGTCCCTGGGTGGTATACTTGAGTCTTGGGGAGTTGGGACTGGGCTCACGGATTTGTCCTCTGGCCTCTAAGCTTCAAGCACTGGCTGTGATTTGGGGACAGGGTGGTGAGCTTTTCCCAGGCTGTCAACAAAACACTCAAGCTATGCAGTGGATGCTGTGCTGTGGACACCCTCTTGCAGGCGTGACCAGGCATGAGGTCTGGGAAGGGGTTGACAGGCAAGGGGGCATGTGGACCAGATGCAACTTAATCACACAGCATTGGTGATGGGGCCTATCTTGGGCATGTGAGCCGGCCAGGCGTGGTTCACTCCCAGCCTGGCAGACAGCAGGAACTTAGCCACTCAGTATGAAATGGAGACTTGTGGGATGGGCACCTAGGGTTGCATTTTGCTGCAGCTGCACAGCACAACAAAGCCTTCTGGGCTCTGTGTGGGTTCAAACTGTGCCTCTGCATGTGCTCGAGGCAGCTCTCCTACCAGTCCAAAGATCTATGAGGGTCGTAGAAACTCCTGTAACTAGGATCTCAGAGATACATTATGGGTATGTAGTGTCCCAGGGTTTCTTCACTCACCCCTTCCTTGGGTTTGTTCAGGGTATATGGGCCAGTCCTGGTGTCTAGTGACTCTGAGCAGACTGCCCCATTTCTTCCCTCTTCAACCATGGTGTCTGTGTCACCTCTGTGTCAACTTTCAGTGTTTTCTCTCAAAAGATCTGTTTAAAATGTGAAGGTTTACTAGATATTATGTTCCTCTCCATGGAAGAGGCACTTCCCAGCTGCATCTCCTTGGCCATCTGCCATTCTCCAAATCTTTTTTGGTGCCTATTTTTCCTTTTTACTTTCTGTGCTTCCTCCTTATTCCCTTCCTCCAACACTGATATGTACTCTGACATTCAATTCTAAATATATATATTATAAAAAATAGATATATTATGCATATATGTGTTCATTAAGAATAGAATACTTGGCTGGGCATGGTAGCTTACGCCTGTAATCCCAGCACTTTGGGAGGCCGAGGTGGGCGGATCATGAGGTCAGGAGATCGAGATCATCCTGGCTAACACAGTGAAACCCCGTCTCTACTAAACAAAATACAAAAAATTAGCCGGGCATGGTGGCAGGTGCCTGTAGTCCCAGCTACTTGGGAGGCTGAGGCAGGAGAATGTCATGAACCCAGGAGGTGGAGCTTGCAGTGAGCTGAGATCATGCCACTGCACTCCAGCCTGGGTGACAGAGCAAGACTCCATCTCAAAAAAAAAAAAAAAAAAAAATTCAGAAAGAAGGTTACTACATCTGAATTTCTGAAGATGGTTTTAGTAGGGATGAATTCAATGTAATCCATGGATTATTCATGACTTTGTAGAAAGGTTAATGAATGTTTCTTTTAGCCACTCGGGATGGGATCTCTGAATCAATAGGAAGCATAAATGAGAGATGTCAGGGGAGGATTGAAGGATGCTGATGGAGGTGGGAAGGCCTGAAGTGACCCGCCTGTGCTAGACTGAAAGTGATTCAGGCCCCACCCAAATGCAGGAGCAGTGGAGCCTAAATCCTTCACAACTGCACATTAGAGGAGAGAGGATTTGACCATCATCCTGCAACTAGAGTTACTGTTAATCAAGGTAGGAGGACAAGATGCGTTCCCACTTCTGACTCTGATTGCCCTAAATAGAGGCCCTAAGTGGTAATAATTTGTTTTGAAACTAGGAGACAGTTCAGTCAGTGTTTCATCAGATTCATGTTTTGCCGAAAATACTGGCACATTCCTCCATTTGATGAGGAGTCACTACAGGTAACTCAAGGGCCTTAGTCCTGCTGCCCACATAAGGGAGTTCTGGTCCTGAGGAAATGGGGCCGTATTTGAAGGTAACGAAAGGGATAAGATGAGACATGATGGTGTGATGAGTATTCCAGTGACTGCTTTTGGTAAATTTGGGCTGGCATGTGGGTTTCAGTTCCTCTGTCTAGAAAGGAAATGCTCCTCATGGCTGACAAAAGCAGGAACAGGTTTTATCATCAGCTCTACACCAAGGCTCTCCAGTTACTAGAGTGGTCTCTAGAAGATAGCATTATCAGCAAATTCCATTAGCAACTAACTTGCTTCTGTGGTGCTGTGTTGTTGTTAATAGTTTTAATTATAGCAGCTGCAATGCAGGGAACCTGATCCAAAAAAGGCACAAACCAAAACCTGTGCTCCTAAGGAGATTATGAGAAATGAAATCACCAACACTGGCTTCTCTTTGGGAGGAAACAAAATGGCAAGAGGGACCACTCATGGGCTAAAGCCCAGCACTTGGGTCACAACTCACCCTGGAGAGGCCAAGTATGGGCCCCATTGCTTCAGGCCTTGGCTATGGATCACACCCTGGATTCTTCTCTTCCAGGTGCAGCTCAGTTGCCGTGATGCTCCTTGAGTCAATGAGCTCTTTGGTCTGCTCTTCTGCTCAAGCAGAAAATGATCTGCGCTTCACCCTTGAGAAGCTGACAAGAACCACAGGCTTCTTCGGGCAGGTGGTGGAACATGGGTGTATCCTGCAGGTTCTCACAGTATCTCCCTTTGCTCAGGTGACGGAGGCTTGGGGTTTTCCAGCTCTTGACCTAAAATTCCTGAATGATTGTTTTCAAATTTCTTAATGAATAATAGGATGAACTTGCCACCCCTGTCAGGGGGGAATGGGGTTCCTGAGAGCTGAGAGGCCAGGATCCAGATCCTGAGCCTCTTCACCAAGCAGATGCTGTAGAGCAAAGGCAGCAACTATCTGTCTGTCTATCTATCTATCTATCTATCTATCTATCTATCTATCTATCTAATTTCCCCTTCCCTTTAAGGAAATCCTCAGGACTAGGTGAGATCTTAGATCTAGTGGAGAATCTGAGTTGCTCCAAGCAAAACCTCAGGATCCTGCAATCTGAAAAGGTAGAACCAAGGCAAATGTGGGCAGCAATACCCAGAAGTTGGGTACTGAGCCTGTTAGGGAGCATTTTTTTCAGGGGAGTGAAGTAAATAATGAGGTGTAGAGAGCAGCGAGAATAAGAAGCCAAATCACAGACTGCAAAATCACACAGCATCTGTCCTTTCTCCCTGGTCAGAGAGAGTATGATGGGTAGTCTCCAATATAGAAAGCCCATTGTGTCCTTCAGCTCCCCCATACAGTCACAGAACAGGCCTGATTATGAAATTTCTGTTCTCTTTAGGCTCTAGCCTGATTTTCTGGCTCATAAGGCCAAAGGGAGCCGGAAAGGTCCCCACGGCAGGACTCATGGTGGAGAGAGAATGGTCTGGAGGATTCAGGCCTCTGCACACTGTGTCTGGGTCCCTCCTTAAAGAATGATAAAGACAAGCAAAGAGCTTGAAGCAGCCTGGAGTCCAGCCAGAAACCTTTAACTGAGCTTTAAAGGAGATGGTCACAACACTTTTCAGAATACTGGCAAAGGCCTCCTGTGGCCAGGTTTGTCCTGGGATGAGCAAAATTTAATGTTAACCTGCTGTATCTTTGCTTTTAATATATCTGCTTGCCCACCACAATGACGTTATGGTTAATTTCACCAATTTGGTAACCTGCCTCATGGGAAGTACGAAAGTAAGCAAGGGCCAGGTGTGGTGACTCACGCCTGTAATCCCAGTACTTTGGGTGGCTGAGGCAGGTGGATTGCTTGAGCCCAGGAGTTCAAGACCAACCTGGGCACCATGACAAAACCCCGTCTCTAAAAAATATACAAAAATTAACCAGGGGTGGCAGTGCATGGCTGTAATCCCAGCTACTTGGAGGCTGAGGTGGGAGAATCTCTTGAGCCTGGGAGGCAGAGGTTGCAGTGAGCTGAGATCACACCACTGCATTCCAGCCTGGGCAACGAAGTGAGACCCTGTCTCAAAAAAAAAAAAAAAAAAAAAAAGAGAAAGACAGTGAGGGTGTCCTGTGAATCAAATCTTTGAATGGATGTTTTCTTAACTAACCAAGACCTCTGTAAGAATTCTGTCTTTGATTCCACAATAAAGTGGTGTGAAATTACTATAAGCAAATGTTTACATGTCTCATTTAATCTTCACAACAATCCTATGAGGCAAGTAGAATTGTTATCCTCATTTTCTGAGTGATGAAACTGAGGCTCAGGGGAGGGTGTGACCTTGCCAAGTCCCCACAACTGGAAACCACAGAACAAAATGACCTGAGTCACACATGCTAGGAAAAACTCATTGTGCCTCCCCATGGAGCTTCACAATGGCTATTTCTGTTGCAATAGAGGATGAAGCAGGTGGTCTTTCCAATCAAGAGCTGTTAAGAAAGCCTCCAGTTCTCCCCGGGGAATCTCAGAATCAGACTGAAGATTCGGAAGAGCCTTTGCTGACCACTGAGTCAAACTCCCCAGAATCCTTTTATAGTACCGCTGACCAGTGAGTGATCATCAAACCTCCAAAGACTTCGGTAATTTGCAGATTCTAGGGAAAATTCCATGAGTTAACAGAGGTGAAATTTGAAAGTTCCGTAGAGAAATTCTGGAACTTGAAATTATCATAGGAAGATTATTATGCAATTTTGTTCCTGTTAGTAGTCTTTAATAAAGAGACTTCAGGTGAACATTGGGTTGAACCAAGATTACTTTCTTCCATTGTCACCATTCTGATTTCAGATTGTTCCTTGCTGGTTTATATACTCTTCAATTCCATTTTGTACCAGATAGAGGCAGAGTAGAAGGAAAAACTGAACAACAAACTGCATTTGTGCCAGCTCGAGGGATAAACACCCTCTAAGGAGCATCTCAAGCTTTCCACAAGATTTCAACAGGGCCACCCCAGTTCACAGGCAGGTAGTGTGTCTTCAATGTGTGGCCAATCGCTCTTGGACAAACAGGAGGTGTTTTCCCCAGGATACCCTGCACTAGACTCGGCATCTTTTCAGTCTTCTTCCTATTCTGTCTCCTTCCCAGCACACTGACACTGGAAGCACACTATGTCATCACATGAGCAATTCACAGGTGCCATGAAATACCTCACAAATGTACAGTACTTTAACTGTTGACCCCATGTATTAGGTAAGAAAGATATTATTATTTACATTTATCTATTGGAACTTGGGGGCACAGAGTGTTTAAATTACCTGCCCAAGGGCACACAAGTCACTCACCTCTTGTGTTTCAATTATACAATGGCTTAGTGAGTCTTTCTTTCAGACGATTGTTGTGAGGAGTGAATGGAATTAAATCAAGTCTATGTGGAAAGGGCCTGGAGCATGAGTTCTCAATGCAGGGTGACTACTGTCAGCACCAACTAGTTATGATAATGACCATGATGATGACGGGGAGATAATAACACCTTGAAGTAATAATAATGAAGTTAGAATGATACCCCCAAATGTATGAAAATTACGTCTATAAAATGAGTTAGTTTATAAATCGTGAGAAAATGGGCATCCTCAGGTATTGCAGGTAGAAACACACAATGGAATAACTCTTGTCAGCAAGCTAATCCATTTCCAGGAATTATTATTTTTTTTTTTTTGAGACAGTCTTGCTCTGTCACCCAGGTTGGAGTGCAATGGTATGATCTTGGTTCACTGCAACCTCCGCCTCCCAGGTTCAAGTGATTCCCCTGCCTCGGCCCCCCATTAGCTGGGACTACAGGCGCACACCACCATGCCCAGCTAATTTTTGTATTTTTAGTAGAGACGGGGTTTCACCATGTTGACCAGGATGGTCTTGATCTCTTGACCTCGTGTTCTGCCAGCCTCGGCCTCCCAAAGTGCTGGAATTACAGGCATGATCTACCACCCCAAGTCCAGAATTTCCTAACAAGTTCCCAAGAGATGAAGGTGCTACTGGTCAGTGACCCCCTGCTCAAAACCACTGCCCTAGGAGATGGGGGCTCTTCTATGCCCCATTTTTACAGGTAAGGCTGGTCATGGAAGTGGGAGATACAAAATAAAGGGTGGGGTCACGTTCCTTTCTAAAAACCTAAATGCATGTCAGGCAAGTAGGGCTTAGAAAAGAATTTACCCTCCTTCACCTCTGTCACCTCATCCCTCCTTCCAACCTCCATCACTTGTTTGGCAAACTGGACTCTGGGAGCCAGAAGGCACCAGAAAAAGTGGAATGTGAGCCTGCAGGCCATCAAGGTGAAGCCCTGAGGATCCCCCGGGGCCAGTCCCTCCACTTTGATGCGGATAAGCCTCAGCTAGTATCAAGTTGAAAGGAGAAAAAGACAGGTGAGTCACTGTTAAAGAAACAGGTTCACATATGTAGGTCTAGGAGCACTGCAAGTAGTTCTTACAGTGGGAGAGAGCAATTGTGCTCAACTCTGAATCCAGCACAAGGAAGTGGGAATTATAGTCAAGGAGGAGGATGGGGGTTAGCAGATAGGAAATGACTACGAGGGAACATCAAGGGTAAGGGAGGATTCTGGCTAAACTGACCTAACGAGATTCTCGCTGAGCACAGGCCAAGGTTATCTGACATCAGCTGCGGGATGGTGGGGGATGAGGACCCTGATCAGTATATGGTGGACGGGGATTCCTGCCAGCTAAACTGACTTAGCAGGGTAATTTGCTAAAACTGAATTTTACAAAAAGTGCACAGATGCGTTTATCAGAAGGTTCAGAAGCCTGACTAATGTATGGTCAAGCAAACAATTTCTGTCACCACACAGAATGCATGCTCCAGGGACCATACTGGGCCTCAGCATCTTCCTACCCCACCAGCTTCCAGGAGGGCATTTTGCCCTGGGCCTCCTGGGTGTTTCCTTGCCTGATCATTTCTAGGAGACAAGAGACTTGCACTTTATCACCTAGGATAAATTCAGTGTCAGATTTTTAAGCCTAAATCGGATGACAGTGCTTCAGTGACAATCTCAGTTATTTAAAAAGGGAGGTTCATTCATTCACCAGTTCTAAAGGCGCACATAAGACATTCTTTTTTTTTTTTTTTTACAAAAAAATTGAGACCAAGTTAAAAGAAAAAGAATGAGAAAAATCAAGCAACCCGAGTCCCTTATATAATCTCTTCAAAACCCCAAACCAGGGAAATCTTCTCAATATAAACTTGGGAATTTTGTTGATCACTGACTGCAGTCTGGTGGTTTATACTTATTTTCTTGTGTCCTGTTTCCTCCCTTCTCCCACCCCCAGCCCCTCAGCAGGTGCTGCCTTCCTGTCTTGGTCTCATTGTCCTCAAATCAGACCTGCAGGTATGGTCCCAAGTGCTTCTAACCTTCATCCTCATATCCACGGGATCCCCTGAGAACCCAGCTTCTGTTATTGAGAACTGTCCCACCTGCTGACTAAGGAGTCTGATCTTTATTCAGAATCATTGCTAAGACACCAGAAGAAATAACATGTAAGAGTCTAGTATAGAACTCACAGTTCTGATCTGAGGAACTAACAATTGCTTATTTGAATCACTGTATTTTCTATTTATATTCTTTTTTTTTTTTTTTTTTTTTTTGAGATGGAGTCTCGCTATGTCTCTCAGGCTGGAGCGCAGTGGTGCGATCTCGGTTCACTGCAACCTCTGCCTCCCAGGTTTGAGCCGTTGTCCCTGCCTCAGGCTCCTGAGTAGCTGGGATTACAGGCATCCACCACCATGCCTGGCTAATTTTTGTAATTTTTTTTTTTTTTTGAGACAGAGTCTCACTCTGTTGCCCAGGCTGGAGTGCAATGGTGCCAACTCACTCACTGCAACTTCTGCCTCCCTGGGTTCAAGCAATTCTCCTACCTCAGCCTCCTGAGTAGCTAGGATTACAGGCGCCAGCCACCACGCGTGGCTAATTTTTGTATTTTTAGTAGAGACGGGGTTTTGCCATGTTGGCCAAGCTGGTCTCAAACTCCTGACCTCAGGTGATCCACCCGCCTTGGCCTCCCAAAGTGCTGGGATTACTGGTGTGAGCCACCACGCCCGGCCTATATTCATATTTCTATTCACAATATCTCCTACACGGTGTTTTCCTGTTCTATGGGGAGAAATCAGGCAGATAGCAGAAGACACAGGTCAGATCTCAGTAAGAGTTTCTATGGCCTCCAAACAAGCATTTATTGATTATAGATGTAGGGGTGAATATTACGAATATGGGGAGATGTCCCACAAGGTTAGCTCCTATGCTACCTAATGCACCGGGCAGCTTGTCCATAACTTAGTTTAAATATATCTGTCAGGCTCCATGCCCATTTGCTGTAAAAGCAAGATTACTGAGGTAATCTTAGATTTTAAAATGGAAAACTGGGCCTCACAAAAGCAGTTGGGAAAATTACCTGGAGATTGTTTCTAAGGCAGTGCCCAACTGTACCAAGCAAAGGACAAGTACAAAGTCAGAGCTTCATTAACTTGATGATTGATTCATTCACTTACTTAATGCAAGACTTCAGGGGAAGAAGAGTCGCTGAGTGGAGGAGACTGGAAACAATGCATTATGAAACGCCCATGGTCTCTGGATACCCACCCAGCCAGTCCCCACCCTCCTAGGGTCTAGTCTCGACCATCTCATCATGTGTTTTGAGGGTGCGTTTTCCTACCAGTTGTTTTTTTGTCTGCTGTTTTTTTGTTTTTGAGACAGGGTCTCCTCTCGCCCAGGCTGGAGTGCAGTGGTGCGATCTCGGCTCACTATAGCCTCAACCTTCCGGGCTGGGCGATGCTGGTGCCTCAGCCTCCCGACTAGCTGGGACCCCAGGCGCGGGCCACCACACGCGGCTAATTTTTGTATTTTCAGTAGAGAAGGGGTTTCGCCAGGGTGCCCACGCTGTTCTCGAATTACTGGGCTCAAGTGATCTGCCTGCCTCAGCCTCCCAAAGTGCTGGGATTACAGGCATGAGCCACCAGCAACACGCCCAGATTCTTCTACACCCTTAATTGGGAGATAAGGCTTCTGCTTGCAGGCTGTGCGTTCTTCCAACCGGCCGCACCTTTGCTGTGGACTAAACAGGAACCACTGGATTAGAGTCCTCTGGCTCTCTGCCCTGCAGGAGATTTTAATCAAACATTCTAGGCCTAAGGGAAAAGCAGGGTTAGGCTGAAAATGCACACAGGGCTCCCGTAAATTTCTTTTCATAAACCACCTGCCCAGGGCATTAAATAGGGTACTTAGTTGATCCGAACCCTCCAGGGAGGCCTCCGACCCTTCTCTTCGTAGCCCCCAGCTCCCCTCCCCCGGTTCCACTGAGGCAAGGGGACTGAGCTGCTCCACATGCCAGGAGTCAGCACGCCGGAAGGCCCCGCCCAGCGGCTGGCGCAGCCAATCGCAGAGCGGGCAAGCGGTGGGGGCGGGCCTGCCTGGGCGGCAAGGGGGCAGGGGGGTCTAGGGGCTTTAGAGGTCAGTTAGCTGCTTTCGGGCGGCCTTAGGCGACAGGAGACTCCTGGACCCAGCACCTGCCCACTGTGCCTGTCCACCTGTGGCTACAGCAGCTGAGACCCCAGTGGGCTAAGATTGGACAGGGGCCACCAGGGACCCAGCAAGTCCTTCAGCTCTGTGAGTGAGGGATTTTCGGGAGTGCCAGGCCGCAGTATTCCCAGGGCTGGTGGGGTGGGACAGGGAGGCTCGACCCCGGCAAGTCAGGCAGAGGCGCCCCTTGCTCCCTGCAACATCGCCCACGTCCTGGGGCCACAGTGAGCATGAGCGGAGGGCGGGAGCAAGAGCCAGGGGACCTGGCCTGGGTCCCCAGCCCAAAGCCTGGGAAGCTGCCTACGCCTGTGTGGGCGCGGACACTGGGGACTCTGGCGTCCGGTGGTTCGGCCACCTGATTCAGTTTATGCTCTGCGAGGGGAGTTGGAGAGTTGGCAGGACTGGCCCACCTGCAGGACTGCAGGACCGCGGGAACGGCGGTAGATAGGTGCTCCCCTTCCCAGTTTGTCCTGGGAAGACATTCAAGAACTGTTTCATTACAAGGGGCATTTGGAAAACATACTTCACCTTCTGCTGTGTATTAGCCAAGAACAAGGTGTGACGTGACTTCCCAATTATTGGGGATCCCTTTGTCCCTTCTTGAAATTAGATGTCTTCATTCTTGAGGTTTTGCCTGGATGACCTCAGCACAATTGGGACAAAACCTGGGCCGACGGTTTCCTAGTTTCCTGGTTGTTGCCTTAAGCTTCTCGCCCATCAGGTACCTTCCTGTCCTTTTCATAGCCTGTCATCATCACCCCATAAAACTGTTTCAACTCCTACAGCTCTGGACAGGCTGCTTTTCATTTTGGTGGGTCCATCCAATACCTCCACTTGCCCTGTTTTTCTCCAGCCACATCCTTGGCCTCTTCCACAGTCCTTAGGTAAATGCTTGGAAGAATAATTTAAATATTTTTTTTCTACCATGGTGCCTCTAGTTTCTCAGGGCGTAGTAAAATGGCTTTTTAGGATCGGTCTAATCAGATCCTCATTTCTTTTCCCTTCCTAGATTTTTGAAACATGAATCCTTCACTCCTCCTGGCTGCCTTTTGCCTGGGAATTGCCTCAGCTGCTCTAACACGTGACCACAGTTTAGACGCACAATGGACCAAGTGGAAGGCAAAGCACAAGAGATTATATGGCATGGTTGGTGGCATCTGAAACTGTCCAGGGGAACCCCAGAGAGATGGGCATTGCTATTGGGATCATATGGCCAGAGAGTGGCTTCTAGAGGCTGGCTCCTACCAATAACCTAATGCAATAACTTAATAGCACTGATTATGAGCACGATATGGGCATACACCCTTGTTGTGTCTTAGCTTGGAGAACATCTCCTAGAAGTGTCAAGCCTTCCCTGGCCATGGTTACTCTTACATCTCTGTCTGAAGATTCACTTGGTTAGCATATGTTGGGTTTTAATTAGAAATAAATAGCATCGGCGGGGCACGGTGGCTCACGCCTGTAATACCAGCACTTTGGGAGGCCGAGGCAGGCAGATCACAAAGTCAGGAGATTGAGACCATCCTGGCTAACACGGTGAAACCCTGTCTCTACTAAAAAAAAAATACAAAAAGTTAGCATGGTGGCAGGCGCCTGTAGTTCCAGCTACTCGGGAGACTGAGGCAGGAGAATGGCATGAACCCGGGAGGCAGAGCTTGCAGTGAGCTGAGATCGTGCCACTGCACTCCAGCCTGGGCGACAGAGCGAGACTCCGTCTCAAAAAAAAAAAAGAAATGAAGAGCCTCAGTTACATGTTTGCCTTTAGAATGGAGAAGGATGGAGGAGAGCAGTGTGAGAGAAGGACGTGAAGATGATTGAGCAGCACAATCAGGAATACAGCCAAGGGAAACACAGCTTCACAATGGCCATGAACGCCTTTGGAGACATGGTAAGTATGCTGTGGGCTGCCCAGCTCTGTGCTTCCCCTCCTCAGTTCTTTACCAAATTAATCTCTTGCTTCTTAACATTTTATTTACTTTTCTTTGAAGACCAATGAAGAATTCAGGCAGGTGATGAATGGTTTTCAATACCAGAAGCACAGGAAGGGGAAACAGTTCCAGGAACGCCTGCTTCTTGAGATCCCCACATCTGTGGACTGGAGAGAGAAAGGCTACATGACTCCTGTGAAGGATCAGGTGAGACTGTGTTAGGTTCAGACCTCCCATCACCCCAGGAAAGCCAAGAAGCAATTGACATTTGTGCTATGGTAGACTGTGCAGCAACATGCAGTTCACTTTTTAAAGGAGTATTTAGCTACATGAGCTAAATACTCATGTTGTTAAAAGTCTTGCTGTGTGTGTGTGTGTGTGTGTGTGTGTGTGTATCAGCTTTTTTATTCTCTTTTCAGGGTCAGTGTGGCTCTTGTTGGGCTTTTAGTGCAACTGGTGCTCTGGAAGGGCAGATGTTCTGGAAAACAGGCAAACTTATCTCACTGAATGAGCAGAATCTGGTAGACTGCTCTGGGCCTCAAGGCAATGAGGGCTGCAATGGTGACTTCATGGATAATCCCTTCCGGTATGTTCAGGAGAACGGAGGCCTGGACTCTGAGGCATCCTATCCATATGAAGGAAAGGTAAATGGAGCTCCTTTTCTTGCTGCCATTCCTGCTTGGTTTTACTGGGACACTTTCAGAGATAACAGACACTTTTCAGAATTCACGTTTTAGATGGTGGAATCTCTATCTGCAAAGTGACAGTGTTGTCATTATAAATTATAGCCTTTGCACAGTTCTGTGATTACATGGTTAACATGCAGCTGTTCTTGCTTCTATGTGACATGGAGAATATACAAACCATTCTACATATAATACAGATGTCTCCATTGTGAAAAATGTCTTACGGAAAGTAAACCTGGGGGTCTCACTGAAGAGAACTGAGCTAATTTTCAGTTTCAAATTAACTATTAATAATAACATTTCACTTCCTTGGATGATTTGTAACAGTGTTGACTTGGAAATTCTATGCTGCAAACTGCTGAGTGTTGTGGTTCTGACTCACATTCCCCAGGAGAAGGATGGTAGTAATCAAGTCACCTCCCTCTTCACCTTTAAAAGGTTAAAACCTGTAGGTACAATCCCAAGTATTCTGCTGCTAATGACACTGGTTTTGTGGACATCCCTTCACGGGAGAAGGACCTGGCGAAGGCAGTGGCAACTGTGGGGCCCATCTCTGTTGCTGTTGGTGCAAGCCATGTCTTCTTCCAGTTCTATAAAAAAGGTAAGCATCTTTCTTCATAGAAATTATTGCAGAAAAAAAGTAAACCACCATGACACACCAGCATGATGGACTCTATACACGCAATAATCATACCCAATGCTTCTATTTGATATTACATTGAGCGTATCTCCATGAATACCTGTACTTCATAACTTTTTATAAATAGCTATGTTATTTATAGTATAGTTTAATTTACTTAAATATTGTCTAATTGTTGTATTCTTATAATTTTTCCAAAGATTTTTACTTCTGTGATTAAATCTGAAAAGAGCCTTTTGAGTCAAGGATTTTGGTGTTCTGTGCTATTTTTAAGATTGATATTCTAGAGTAGAATTACAAGCTTAAAATGAGTGGTCTTTTATGCCTGTAGGAAAGTTTTTTTATGAGGGACTTATGCTAATTTCTATTTCTGCTAGTTGTGGATGAGAGCCTAATTCCCTAGCCTTGATAACAATAGATCTTGTTAAGCCCGATCTGGACTGTGTGTCATTTCACTGATTTTAGAGATGCCTCCCTCCCTGTGGGTGACAGGGTGGGTTACTGTCAGGTGTCCTTGGGAACTTCTCACCCAGCCTTCATTTTATTCTCTCAGGAATTTATTTTGAGCCACGCTGTGACCCTGAAGGCCTGGATCATGCTATGCTGGTGGTTGGCTACAGCTATGAAGGAGCAGACTCAGATAACAATAAATATTGGCTGGTGAAGAACAGGTATAAATTGCCAGAAAGACTTATAGTTGAAATTCAAAAGGGAATCCTTTTTTGCAATCAGTATTTACATACCACAAGCCCTTAATCACATTTCTGAAATCCCAGAAGTCTTTTTCCCCCTTAGGCAGAACACAGAATATTAATGATTGATTGTAACATCAAGATACTGTCACAAGCATGCTGGGGATATTAATATGGTATTTGTCCCATTGCATGTCTAAATTCTGAACATTTTCTTAATTCTGAAGTAGATCGGCTGGAAAGACATCCTATCCTTTTTCTGTTTCTGATTTTGCAGTTCTGTGAAAGGTCACAGTTTTGGGTCTGGGATTGAAGCGATATGCAGGTTTTGACTCAAGAATTTACAAGGGATGAACAGGAACATCAGCATCTCCTGATTCTTTATGTTAAGGCTGTGGCTTCTGGCACACTGTGGCTTCTGGCTCACTGTTCAAATTAATAACCCAGTGTGCTTTATCCTTCCTCTGAAATGGAAAACCTGCTCTCCTTTCAGCTGGGGTAAAAACTGGGGCATGGATGGCTACATAAAGATGGCCAAAGACCGGAGGAACAACTGTGGAATTGCCACAGCAGCCAGCTACCCCACTGTGTGAGCTGATGGATGGTGATGAGGAAGAACTTGACTGAGGATGGCACATCCAAAGGAGGAATTTATCTTCAATCTACCAGCACCTGCTGTGTTGAATGCACACTTCAATCATTGAAGATCCAAGTGTGAGTGGAATTCTGATATTTTCACACTGGTAAATGTTACCTGTATTTTAATTACTGCTATAAACATGTTTGTATTATTGATTCACTTACTTTGTATTTTCATTTTAAAAGGATATATACAATTTTACCTGTTTAAATAAACTGTAATTTCAAATGTACTGGTGGGGCTTCTTTCTGTTTTGAAGCACTGACTTTTTTGTGTAGTTGTATTAGTCTGTTTTCACGCTGCTGATAAAGACATACCCAAGACTGGGCAATTTATAAAAGAAAGAGATTTAATGGACTCACAGTTCCACGTGGTTGGGGAGGCCTCACAATCATGACAGAAGGTGAAAGGCATGTCTCACATGGCAGCAGAAAAGAGAAGACAATGAGAGTCAAGCGAAAGGGGTTTCCCCTTATAAAACCATCAGCTCTCGTGAGACTTATTCACTATTATGAGAACAGCATGGGAAAGACCTGCCCCCATGATTCAATTACCTCCCATCAGGTTCCTCCCACAACATGTGGGAATTGTGGGAGTTAAAATTCAAGATGAGATTTGGGTGGAACACAGCCAAACCATATCAGTAGTCAAGCATGAAACTGGGCTCTAAGCCATACCTGCTCTACCAGTGGTTCACTAGGAGGAACAGTGGGTGGCCTTCTGGCTCTTCTAGTAACAAATGTGCAGATCTCATGTCAGCTGCCCAGTGGTTGTGTCTGACACAACTCTTGATTGAAGCAAAATATGACAAACGATCTATAAGGACAAAGGAAAATTGTTTTAATAAAGAAAAAATTCACATTTTTCTTTAAAGTGATCAGACATACATGTAATTTCAATACTGAAAAAGAGCCTTAGAGATCATGTTTATCTCACCCACAATGTTTGCAACCCAGTCAAGTTACAGGGCAAAGCTATCAGGGCCAGTTTCTGGAGCATCTTCCCCAGCTGCTGGTGAAGACCCCATGGCCACTTTACAGTTGAGGTGAGAGAAGGCACTAGTGCGTTGGCAAGGCTGTTTGTCTTTGGGTCCTCAAAGGATGAGGGATAAACTCCAGGGTGTGAGGCTGGGCTTCAGGAATGGTGTGCTGGCCTTGGAAGGTGGAAGACAGACAAGAGGACCCAAACTGAGAGTCTGTGGCCACATTCACACCAAGCTACCTGTAAGCACCTGAATTATTTTAACCAACAGAAAAACTTCCCACATTGTATTGGCTAAAAGAGCACATAGTTTCATCACCTGTGTTTTTTCAAAAGTCTCATGTTCCCACTGAAAAAAAAATAAAAGATAGTTAGAAGTGTTTAGTGAATAGACTCCATAATCTTTCAGGAAGAAAACTAGGAGGACAATGGGGTCTCATCCCACAAAGCCTCCAGCAGGCTCCATTTAAGTTCATCTGAACTGGATCATGTGCCATGCTGGACTCTTACGTGCCCTTCCCTAGTTGTTGCTAAAACCATCTTTTTGACATAAAATGACAAAAATGGCAACTGTGAAATTTTATAATAAAAGTAGCCCATGTTAGCAAGAAGATTGGGAAGATTCCCAAGGTAAATCCCTTAACTGTGCAGGTTGGGTCCTAGATTTGATACAGTTAGAATTTATGCAGCAGCCAACATATGCAGGTTATCACCATGGTGGAAGAGACAGGCCCTGACCTCAAGGAGCTGCAACTGTTAGGGAAAGGGAGGTAATGAGGGAGGGTTTCTGGGAGGAAGGGAAAGACAATATCAACCAGAGCAGCCAGTCACTAAGGGAAGGTGAAGAGGTGAGCATCTTAGCAGAGACTAGCATGTCAGTAACCCTGAGAAATGACTGCAGTGAGAGACCCTGCAGAGTGATTAGGTCCAGGTGTTGGGTGATGAAGCTTGCTAAGCGGAGTGTTTGAACATAGGGGACCACTGGAGAGTGCAGGAACAGACCGTTCTGGTTCTCCTCTATTACTGTAAAACAAACCACCCAGAAACTCAGTGGCTTGGTAGAAACATCTTTCACATTTTCCGCCTGGACTTGGCTGTGTGGTTTCACGGGGAGACATCTGTAGGCTCTATCTGTGCTGGAGACATCTGTAGGGCTTGATGGGACTAGACATCTGCAGGGCTTGACGAGACTAGACATCTGCAAACCCTCACTCACAGGGCTGGTTGCAGATGCTGGTGTTGGCTGGGCATTTAGCTTGGGCTGTTGACCAGAGCACCTGCCTGGGGCCTCTCCATGGCTTGGGCTTCTCACAGCATCAACGTTGGGAAAAATATATACATATACCTTGGCAAACTTTAAACACTGAATTGCACAGGTGTTTATGTTCATCTTTATTATTAAATAAACAAAAAAAGTATTATGAGGAGATTTGGTCTCTTTTCTCCAGTAATACAGTTTTAAAATCTCATAATTAACATAATTAAAGTTTTTTATACTTATACTTTCAGTAAGTATTTATTAGTCATTTTTATTTATTTATTTATTTACTTTTTTTGAGATGAGGTTTGGCTCTTGTTGCCCAGGCTGGTGTGCAATGGCACGATCTCAGCTCATTGCAACCTCTGCCTTCCGGGTTCAAACGATTCTCCTGCCTCAGCCTCCCGAGTAACTGGGATTACAGGCATGTGCCACCATACCCAGCTAATTTTGTATTTTTAGTAGAGATGGGGTTTCTCCATGTTGGTCAGGCTGGTCTTGAACTCCCAACCTCAGGTGATCCACCTGCCTTGGTTATAATCTAACCTAATTAAAATCTTTTTAAAAGCAGGACAAAAAATTCAACATTTTGTAAGATTATAGCTACGTTAAAATATGTCTAGAAAATACAGCCAGAGGAAATAAAAACTTTCATTGCCTCAAATTGCCGCAAAGCCAAGGGGCACTGCCCATGGCCAGGGAGGGTGAGCCCTGGAAGCACAGAGGTTGCTGACTCCCAGCCCAGCAGCAGCTGGACGCTCAGCCCCCAGTGCCTGGTTTCTCCTTGCACGTGAATCCAGGTCCCAGCATCTTGTCATTGACAGGAGCAGCCCTGGCTCACCCTCTTGGAAAACAGAAAGATGCTCATGGAGGCTGGCTGTGAGGCAACCTGAGGGCTCTGAAGACCTCCTGTGGGGCTCACACTGGGGCCAGAGCCTCAGCCTCTGACACCCGAGAATGGAGTAGGCAGGATGGGTGGGGCAGAGAAGAAGAAAGTTCTCCGGATGTCCTGGTTAGTCACCCTGACCCTGGGAAATGCACACTCACGGCTGAATCAGGGAGAATCACGTCTTTTGGCCAGAAAAACAAGCCATTATGGCCAGCGAAGCGCTCACTAAGCACACACAAATACACATATATGTGCACCCACAAACACATAGAATTACACACATGCTCAATACACACATAAGTACATGCACACTAACTCATTACACATATGAGCATGTATGCACACAACACACCTATACACATACACTTATGTACAGATGCCCAAATACACACATACTCACACAATACGCATGTATATACATGTAGTCCTGACACACATTCACACACATGTGCACACACACCTACATACACACCACAGTATAATACACTTAGTAGAGTAGTATCGGGGGGCCTCAGTTGTGGTCAGATGGCCTGACACTTAGTCTGAATTGTTAATCATTGAACTGTGTAATTTTGTCTAAATCTTTTCATCTCTGCTTCCAGCCCCCAAAAGAGTGTGGTTGACTGAAATCATCTGGAAGTTCTCTTTAGCTGTAAAATTCTGTGATTTCAATGGAAAAAGACGGTATCATCCACCCAGAGCTCACCTGAGCTCCTTCTCTGTACCCTGAGGAGGATCCCGGGGGCTGGAGTCACAGCATAGGGTGCTTTGGAGGCCATCCTCACCCAGCGCCAGCCCCAAGAGTGTTGCCACCAGGGATAGCCCAGCATCTCCACAGACCTCTGCTGTGGGCATTCCTGTGACTTCTTCCCTGCCCCTCCTCCCCATGCCTACGCACTTCTTCCCTCCTTTCTGATCAAGAATATGCCTTGGGAGCAAGTAGGCAGGAACCAGCAATCTTCTGAGGCCCAGCGCTTCCAGAAAGAGGTCGGCAGCTGTCTGTCCTGGGGACGTTTCCTGGTGGAGGTGGAAGGGGGCTCACTGCTCCTTAACACGCTCTTTCAAGAGTGCCTCCCTGGTTTACTCTTTCTGGTCAGGGCATTCATTTGGAGCAGACAAGCCTGTTCCCTGTCCCAACTCAACATCTGGAAGTTGCTGGGTCATGGGCTCCAGGTGTTGTTTGGAGCCTCTCATCAGCATGTGACTTTTGGTTGTGATGATAAAGTCTGACCGCACCTCAGGTTGTCACCCAAAGCTCAGCTACAATCTCTACAAATTACCCCTGAAAGCAAATTTCTCAGGCAACTGTGGGGCTCAGCCCGTGGCCTGGTAGGTGAGCCAGGATGTGGCCCTCACTGGGCATTTCATACCTGTGGCCAGCACAGGGCTGGCACCATAGTGGTACCCAACAGCCCCTTGTTGGAAGAATGAATTTGAGCACCCCACTCCTCATGAACAGCTTGGCCTGATTAAGTTCTCAAGAATCCAAAGGCCTGCAAACACTATGACATCCTCCCACATATGAATTCAAACTGAACAAAAACCCTGAAAACTAAAAAAAAAAAAAAAAAAAAAAAAAAAAAAAAAGGAAAAAAAAGAAAATGAGCCAAGGAACAATCACTTCTTCCCATTAGGAAGACCACTTTGTACTTTGTAGGTGGTTATTTTGGAAATAACAATCTTTCACTTTTCTTATCCCCCATTTCTCTAGGGGCCTCTGCTTTGCTGGGCTGCTCTAAATACAATGGGTAGTCCTGTACTTCACTCTGCCAGATTTATTGTTACCTGGACATTTTTAGGTGCCAGCTTTATCTTTTTATTTTTATTTTCAAAATGTGGTAAAACATAAATAACATAAAATTGATCATTTTAACTATCTTGAACTGCACAGATTGGTGGCATTAAATACATTCACATTTTTATGCAACCAACACCACCATCCATCCATGAATACTTTCATCCTGCAAAACAGAAACCATCTTTTTACTCCCCTAGCAAGCATGCCCTCCTCTCTAGCTTATATTTATTTTATGCTACATAGAATATCCTAGAAGCAGAGAATCTGAGCAGTGGAGGGCACCTGGTAAGGTTATCTCTTCCAAACACCTGCCCTTCAGCAAAACCACACGTGGGGTAGACTGAGCCAGGCAGAATCAACCTTGTTTTTAAATGTACAAAGCTAGGCCTTCTTTGGAAGTCACGTATTTGAAATATCAAGTTGGAAAATTCTTTTTCTAAAGTAAAAATTTTCTTTGTCATTTCCTCCAGTTACTCTTTTTCTTTTTCAGATTGAAAATAACCAGTTACTGTCCTCAGGGAATCAACAATTTCATGAGCAGTGACTTCCTGGGAGGCCGTGGTTCTCAAACGTTAGCCGGCCTCAGTGTCAGCTGGAGGGGTTATGAAAGCACAGATCGCTGCACCTAACCCCAGAGTTTTAGATCCCAGGGGTCCAAGGAGGACTCCAGAAGTTGCATTTCCAGCAAATTCCCATGTGATGCTGATGCTGTTGGACTGGGGACCCCATTTTAAGAAATGCTGCTATAAGGCCCAGTGCTAGGAAATCTGAAGGATAGAAATATGCGGGTACCTAAGAGGTGGGAACAAATGGGAATTAACAAGGTAAATGGGTTAAACTTCACGTGGAAAGTGCCAAACGCCCTTCACATAAGCCCTTTGCTGTCATAGAGCTCACAAGCTCAGGGTGCGGTGCAGGAGGCTGACGTGAACAGTAGTTTGGGATGTCAGTCTTTCATACCGGGAACTGTGTGGACACTGCAGGGGAGCACAGCGCTCAGGCTGGATGAGGAAGGGGCCGGGGATGGCTTCCTGCAGACCTGGAAGCATCAGGAGCCATTCCTGGGTGGATTCTTAAAGAAAAGAAGGTGTCCAGACAAAGGGGCCGGGCGAGGCACATGCTCTTCCAGCAGAGGAACAACGTGGAACTGAAAAGGGGACATGGAGCATTCACGGGGCAGCAAGCTGTGCAAGTGTCCCCAAGGGGAGCGTGGAAGTGAGGCAGTGAGGACAGAGTGCGGAGGCGGGCAGGGCGAGACCCAGAAGGCATGGTAACACAGGAGGAGGAGCCCAGGTGATATTCTGAAGGCTCCTTTGACATCGAGGACAGAGAAAGCTTTGCTAAGACTCCATATAAGGGGGCATCAGAGAGGAAAGGAGAAGCAGGAACACAGCTCTCTCCAGTCCTCTAGGTCCTCCACTATAGGATAGCCTAGGTGCAGACAAAATTTCCTTTCCTTTTTGTTTTGTTGGAAGATTTTGGAATTGCATGGAGGAAAACTTGTAAAGACACTGGGCAAGCCTAGAACCAAAATGAACACAAAGAGGATACAGAAGGTGGGTCTGGAGGTGAACAGAGGAGGCTTCCAACTCCATCTTGTCTTGTGCTGCAGTCTCTGTATTTAAATAGAGACCTAATTCCCTCACAAGACCCACAGGACCTCACAGGGGCTGGCCTCCCTGCTGTTTTCAGCCTGAGCTCACAGGCGCTGGCCCTCACTCTTCCTGCTCCCGCTCCATAAGCCTCTTTCAAACTGGGTTTGCCAGGCTGTCTTCTGCCCCAACCCTTTCCCCAGGTGGTTTCCTCCATCTGGAGTAGTCTTGCCCTCACCTGACTAATTAACTACGTTTAATCTAAGACCCACTCCCTCAGGGCAATCTGATCTACCTGCATAGGTTCAATCTCTACTCTTAGAGGGTTTTAAGCATTGGGTACTTTTACTTGATAGCACTTAGTGGTTGTTATTTGTGTAATTAGTTGTTGAATGTCTCTTCTACTAGAACAGGGGTCAGCAAACCATAGCCAGCTTTGGCCTGAAGTCTGATTTTGTAAATAAAATGTTAATGGAGGAGATCAGGTGCCTACAGGGTCATATTGCTGGAGATGTGGAGTGACCGATCAAGATCAACATATTTTGGTTCATTTGGATGATCGACTTAACAGAGAGCTTCCATATTTTTATCTATTTAACATTTCTTTGGTGCCAGGGCATGACATTTTCTTTGTTATAGAGAAATATTAAAGAAAAAAAAGAATGCACAGGGAGTTAATATGAAATATTGTGTTCTCACCAAGTGAAGGCCAAAAGGCTTCATTACAGGATGTGCAAAGGAAGCCTCTGTGTAACTTACATAGGGACAAGTGGTGGAAGCAGCCAATTACTGCAAAGCACACCGCCAACAGGCGGGTCTCAGGAGAGTCTGCATGTGGACAGGGGGCGCCACTTCCTCACAGCGGAGGGGAGTGACTGTTCTGCCTTTGTTCCATTATATTAATATTGTCATTTGAATTTTATGAGGTCTCTGCATTTGTTGATCTGCAAGTTTCTTTAGGTTTTATGGTTGCAAGGTATCTACATGCCTACATTCTTTATATCTAGTTTTAAGGTTACATATAATTAATATATATAATATTTAATTAAAAATTAAAATATGTAAGATATATATTATAAAATATATAGACACATGAACAGAGGCAGAGCAACAAGAATAAGGTTTTAATTTACAATCAGGACAGAGAAGAGCCCATCAAAGTAAACAGGCAAGGGGAAGAGGGGCACCTGGAAATAGCAGCGGGCATCCTGCCAGTTCAAAGAATAGAGACCTGGCTGGGGGCTTTGGTCAGCCAGATGAACAGTCAAGCCGGGGAGGGCACAGATGATGATGACACATGCTGGCTTCTTCTTCTGTCCACAGGGGAGTGCCTCAAATACACTGTGGTTCTGATTGGGCTCATCAGCCCCACATCCTCCTCCAACACACACACGCGCACACACACACACACACACACACACTTTGAGGTTTGGGGCCTCTGGCTTTTATAAGGAGAGAGCAGCTTAAATTTAACTTCAATGGACTGAGCCCCTTCCTCCAGGAGCAATGTCCATTCATGGGGACCATATGTGGAGGGAGACTTGCTTCTTATTTGTTCCTCATCATACCACCTGTGTGTACCAGGTGGGCCTTGGGCGCTCTTTCTGAATGGGGACCCTAATTGTGTTCAGTTGCAGCAGTTGTGGTGCCATTCCCCATCGCACAATCTGTTCTGGAGGAGGATGTTGCAGAGACGCTGCTCCATAAACTGGAGTTGCCTGGAGGAGCCCTGATGGGAAGGCTTGGAAAAACAGGGGCACTGGGGACAGAGGCTTTTCATTGCTGCCCATCAGGGGGCCCCAAGTGTGGGCTGAGGGGTGGGCCTGGAGAATATGAATGTAGCCAGGCAGACGTAAGCCGATGTCTTTCCAGGGTGCCTCTATTGTGCACTGAATTTGGGAAATTAAGAGGGTGCTCACTCTGGAGCTTGGTGAAGATTTGAAAACCACAGCGTTAGTAGTGGAAGTCATGTCCATAGCAAAGAGCTGAGGGCTCAAGGAGGCTGCAAGGTCAGGTGGGCAGATGCCCTTGCTGTGATGGTGGAAATGGCTGCTGTGGAATTCATCTGCTGATGAGTGATAGCAGGGATCCCGGTGGAAGGTGCTGGAAGAGGAGTTGGGGAGGAAAGAGGAGGAGAGGAAAACACATATGGGTGTAGGAGGCTCCCTTCTGAAGGGAAGCTGGAAGGAGAAAGATGCGGGGCTAGGAGGTATGGGGCAGGGCTGAGAGGTCAGAGGTGCTGAAGCTGCAGCTGAATGAGGGCAGCCTCCTTTCTCATTAGGTGGAACCCCCAAAATGGGGGCAAGTTCAGCAGGAAGACCCCGGGGAGAGTTAGGAATTATGGATATCAATTTTTACTCAATTCTTGGTGTGGGCGAAGGTGGAGGGACAGGCAGGGTGAGGGGCCCAGCAGCCATGTGGGCCAAGTCAGAGGTAGGAGGAGGAGCTGGGATCTGTGAAGTGTAGGTGGCCCGGGCAGGGAGTCTCAGCAGGTGTGGAGACAGCAGGGGCAGGCTGGGTGGCACTGCAGTTTGCCATGTCTTCTTTTTTGAGGCGGAATCTCGTTCTGTCGCCAGGCTGGAGTGCAGTGGTGCAATCTCCACTCACTGCAACCTCCACCTCCCGAGTTCAAGCCATTGTCCTGCCTCAGCCTCTTGAGTAGCTGGGACTACAGGCACGAGCCACCATGCCCGGCTAATTTTTGTATTTTCAGTAAAGACGGGGTTTCACCGTGTTGGCCAGGATGGTCTCGATCTCTCGACCTCGTGATCTGCCCGCCTCAGCTTCCCAAAGTGCTCGGATTACGGGTGTGAGCCACCATGCCTGCCCTGCCATGTCTTCTTTATCTTCCCAAGCAGCTGTTTTAGTCTCCTGGATTCTGATGTTCTACTGGTGTCCTTCTTATCCACGTTGCCCAGGAATCCCTCAGGAGATAGGCAGGGAAGCTTAGCAGGTGGGGGCAGGTCATCTCTATTCCACCTCTATTGCCGGGGAGGGGTTGGTGGCAGCAGCAGTGGTGGTCCTGACAGTTTTCTTTCACTGGACCTGTGGCCGGCAGCTCTGGGTGGAGTATAGCTACTTGATGCAAGAGCTTCAGGATCCTTGGGCTGCATCTCCTTCCCCCGCATTAGCAAGCCTGGAGAGCTGGGCAGGTGGTCTTTACCCAACACCTTCAAGGCTGCCTTCTCTGGCCACAGGGAGCAGCCCGGAACTGGGAAAGGGATTATTATCCTTAATATTATCCATAATATTCCAAAAGTTCTCAAAAATTGGTAAGAAAAGGCACAACATCCCAATGGGAAAGTGGCACCACACACTCTGGACTGTTTCCGCTGCTCAGTGGCCTGAGTATAAGTGCAGCCAGTGCTTGTCTGCCTCTCCTCTCCCCTGCCTGTGATGCCCCCTCAGAAGGTGTCTCCCCATTTTTTCTATCAGTGCTTCACTGATAGAAAAATGCCGCACTTCCCACGCAAGGCTCTAGTTCCAGACATGCTACCAGAATTCTCGGGAACCCCCCTCCTCTCCCCTGAAAACCCCGCCCTTGCACATTAGATATCCTGGTTTTCCTGTTGGGGTCCCATTATGGCATCATCAGCAGATGGGGCACAGTCTCCTGAGGCCTGGGAGGAATCTGTCCCAGAAACCAGGGTGTGGGGACTTCTGACTAAATCAAGGGAAGGTTTTCATGGAGAAAGTCAACAAAAAGTGAACATTCTAATTTCAAAAATAGTCTCCTCATTGCACTTCAAATTAAGGGACTTGGAAAAAGGGGAGCAGTGAGCTGTGTGTTTAATGGGTTCAGAGTCTGATACTGGGATGATGAGAAAGTTCTTGAGATGAATTGACGGTGATGGTGAGAAAACAATGTGAATAAACTTAACGCCAATAAACCCTGTACTCAAAAATGATGAAAATGGTAGTTTCTGTTAAATCTGTTTTACCTCAATAAAAAGTAAATAAAGTTTTGTTCCCAGTGGGCAGGTAAGTAGGGGAAACTCTCTTGCCACCTCTTGGCAAGAGCCTGAGAAACAGTTGGGCTCCCCAGCAGTGTGAGCTCTTCTGAGGGCAGTGGTGACAGCCCGAGAGACAGTTGAGTGTAGCAAGGGCAGGTGCAGGTCCCTGGTCCCAGAATGTGAGTGTGGCGAGCCAGCCTCAACTTCTGCCTGCCTAGGAGGCATCCTAGGAGGTGAGCCTGAGTGAGCAGGGGTGAGCTCTGTGTGTCCTGTGTGCAGCAGCAGATTATCTGTCCGCCCGTGCAGAGACGGGAGAAAGCCATGATGATGGGACCTGGTTTGGCTGAGAATCCCCAAAGGCCCAGGAGCTCCTTAACCTTACATTAAAACACAAAAGAGAGTTCAGCAGAGGCCACCACACCCGGCTAATTTTTGTATGTTTAGTAAAGACAGGGTTTCACCATGTTGGCCAGACTGGTCCCGAACTCCTGACCTCAGGTGATCCACCTGCCTCCGCCTCCCAAAGTGCCGGGATTACAAGCATGAGCCACCACGCCCAGCCTTCATTACCCTTTATTACTCATTTTTTTATTATTGTTTGTCTCTGCCTATCAACCATTGTGCTCATCACTCACCTGACAAATATCACATCTTGAGTAGATACTTGTAGAATGAATGAATATGATTTTGCTTCAAGACCTAAGGAGTGGAGGCAATGGTGGACTACTAGAACAGGTGTCTCTAAGTGTGTTTGTATAAGACATTCTAGACCTCTAGAATGTCTCTTCTACTAGAACTCAGCCTTGATGACCTTATGCCCAGCGATGGAGAGCATTCATGAAGCATTTAAGGAGGCTGGCCTGCAGGGAAGCAGTCTTGGACAAGTTCAACCTGCCCCCATGCCACTTCAACAATCAAAATTTTTATCACACCTCCTTGCTTCCTTTACTCCTTCAAAAAGCACAGAGTTTTTCATGGGGTTGCACATCGTTCATTTTACAAACACTATTAACATCATTTCATTAAAAATGACATCCTAACCCCAATTAACTAAGAAATACATAATGCAGAATAAGTAGCAGTTTGCCCTAAGACCATTAGCAACATTCAGGGACATATACATTTTCCTCAGTTTCTTCATTGTGCTAATGGGCAGTGAAGAGTTGGTGTTTGAGAACTCCTCAGATATTTGGTGTGCTATCGGGCATTGCTGAAAGCAGGAATCTTAGCGGCTGGGAGTCACTGTGTGGGCAGAGGAGGAGAGGAGACAGAGACTGTGTGGAGAGGTGAGGCTCTGTGCTGTCAGTGAGGGCTGTTCTCTGCCCCCATCTCTTCCAGTCCCTTTTCATCTCTGCCATCCCAGGAATGATGGAAGTGCCTGAGGAAGACTACCTGGGCTTCCTGATGAGTTACTGGCAGACTGCCTCTGTGGGACAAGAGGGTCACCTGCAAGCCAGACAGTCCAAATCCTCCCTGAAACACATCACTCTCCACTCACTGCTTACCAATTCCCTTCAAGGCTGCTCCAGCTGCACATTTTTAAAAGTTGTTCTATTCAATGAGAAGACATAGACACAGGGAGGGGAACATCACACACCGGGGCCTGTTGGGGGTCAGGGGGTCAGGGTCAAGGGGAGGGAGAGCATTAGGACAAATACCTAATGCAGGCAGGGCTTAAAACCTAGAAGATGGGTTGATAGGTGCAACAAACCACCATGGCCCATGTATACCTATGTAATGAAACTGTACATTCTGCACATGTATCCTGGAACTTTAAAATAAAATAAAAACTTTTTAAAAAGTTGTTCTATTAAGATATGGTCTGTGGTTTGGGAAAATGGTGACTCATTGTCCTGTTCTTAGAGAAATATTTCATTTTGTAGGGATGACTGGCCCAGGGGCCCAAAATCTCACTGTCAGTCTGCTCTGGTTCTTCAGCAAATGCTTTGAATCAGGGTTGATGGTGGCAAAAATTGGTAGTCAACACCTTCAGCATCGTGGTCCTTCCCTTGCATCACTGGCCAAGCTTCACTCTGGTGAATTCCACATATAAGGCTTGCCCAGCCCTGTCTCATTCTCTTGGATGAGCCACAGCCATGCTACCCACCAGGACCAGGCACTTCCTCTGCACACTCTGTGGATAGCAGTCATTTCCCTGAATCCATGAAAGCATCATCCGCTTAAACCACTATTTCTTAGTGTTGTTTTTTGCAACTTTGAATTCCACAATTTCTGTTTCATTCTCTGCATAAATTGGAGAATACTTGTGAAAATTCCTTATCTCACAGTCCATTTTCTGTAACATTAGTCTTAGCCCTTTTAAAATCCTGGGCCTTGCTCTCTTGAAGTTTTTCTGGGGTTGAGGCCAGTGGGATGGCAAAGCTGCTGTCACTGAGGTATGGCCTGGAGAGTCCTTGGGTGCCTGGGGGAGAAGGCAGGGCCACCAGCATGGGAGCCAGGAATAGGGGACGACTCCAGGGGATGAAGCCCAAGGAAGACTCAGCATGTCAGGTGCAGATCAGCGCAGGATGAGGCCCTGAAGTGTGGGTGACCAGCCACTCACAGGGGGAATGAGGCTCTTTGGCCCTATTTCTCATGGGGCTGGTATGTGGGGCCCCAGGTGTCCCTGTGCTCAGAGCCTCAGCTTGCAGGGAGCCCCTGTCAGCCCCTCCATGGGAGTTGGGAGTTACAGGGGGCCATGAGCAGCTCTCCTGGGGGAAGTTCCTTGTCCTGGGATGGGGGCATCCCTCCCTCAGGCCCCACCTGTCCTTTTGGGCTCCAAGCACAGAAAGTTGCAATCTCGGTCTTCACATGGAGACCAAATGTGTCCCAAGCCAGGCTGCAGCACACACATGAGGGCTTAGGTAAACAGGCCAAAGCCCACTGCTCCCCCTGACAAGGGCAAATGTAACAGAAAACGAAGTGGACAGACTTCAGAGAATGTCGGGGAGCTGCCCCAGAGGTGGAAGCCAGGAACGCGGGACAGCTGGTGCCTGACTGAGGGTGCCCATCACCACAGCCCACGTCCTCGTGCATTTCCACAGGGTAAGTCTGGCTCCAGCATTTGCTCTGGAATAATAGGGCCCCACAGCACTGACGATCATGACCACCTGTCTGCCAGAGAGATGCGAGAGAGACTGAGGAGAAGAGTGCCCTGTGTGATGCTCCCTGGGCCAACTGACAGGAAAGGGCCTCTCGGGCACGCAGGCCCCAGACTCAGCATTTGTATCTGGCTCATGAGCCTGATGACTCTGGGCAGCAGAGTAGCACACAGTGGACGCATGCTCTATATTGAGTTAGGCAGGCCAGGAGCTGACTGCTGACAATTGGCCTGGCCACATCCTTGCACTTCACTGTACAAGAGTCTCAGGGTGGAGTGAAGTGAGCTCTGAGACCACACCACAGAAAATTCATTGCTGGGAAGACCAAGCATGCCCAGGACAGCTATATAGAATGTGGTTGTTGGGTCCCTCACACCATCTAAAGCAGAGGCTCTTAAATAGCTGGGGTTAGGACACTCCCAAATCTTCACTGAAATTTCCAAGCCCATCACAGACTCCAAATTTTGCTAGATTGCCTGAAGGTCCATGGACTCCTGGACAAGAACACCCTGTACTGCTCAGCAAAGTTGCCATGTCAGAGCCACGAGGTCAGGAATTCAAAACCAGCCTAGCCAAGATGGTAAAACCCCGTCTCTACTAAAAATACAAAAATTAGCCAGGCTTGGTGGCAGGTGCCTGTAATCCCAGTTACTCAGGAGGCTGAGGCAGGAGAATCACTTGAACCTGGGAGGCAGAGGTTGCAGTGAGCCGAGATTGCGCCACTGCACTGCAGCCTGGGTGACAGAGTGAGACTCCATCTCAAAGAAAAAAAAGATTATACATCATGACCAAGTTGGATTTATACTTGGAATGCAAGGATGAGTGAAGATACAAAAATCAATCAAGTCATACACCACATTAATATAATGAAAGACAGAAACCACATGATTCAGACAAAGCATTCAACAAAATTCAACACCATTTCATGATTAAAAACACTCAACAAACTAGGAATAAAAGGAAAATACTACCACATAATAAAGGCCTTACATGAAATGCCCACAACTAACATTATGTTTACTAGTGGAAGACAAAGCTATTCCTCAAAGTACAGGAGAAAGTCAAGGATGCCCACTCTTGCCACTTCTATTCAACGTAGTACTGGGCCAGAGCAATTAGACAAGGAAAAGATATATAAAAGGCATTCCAGTTGGAAAGGAAGAAGTAAAATTATTTCTATTTACAGATTATATGGTTTTATATGTAGAAAACCCTAAAAATTCCACCAAAAACCTGTAAGAACTAATAAATGATTTCCGCAAAGTTACAAAATGCAAAATTAACACACAAAAATCCATTGCAGTTCCATACATTAGCAATGACCAATATGGAAAGGAAATTAAGAAGAAAATTTCAGACCAGGTGCGGCAGCTTACACTTGTGATCCCAACATGTTGGGAGGCTGAGGCAGGCGGATCACTTGAGGCCAGGAGTTTGAGACCAGCCTGGCCAACATAGTGAAATCCTGTCTCTACTACAAAAACAAACAAATAAACAAACAAACAAACAAAAACAAAAAACCCACAATTTTATTTATAATAGCATGAAAAAGAACAAAATACTTAGAAATAAACTTAACCAAGGAGGCAAACAACTTGGACACTAAAAATTACAAAACAACAATGCTACAAGAAATCAAAGAGTATATAAATAAATGAAAAGACATCTCCATGCATGTGGATTTGAAGACTTAATATTGTTAAAATGTCCATATTACCTAAAACAATTTACAAATTCCATACAATCCCTATTACAGCATTATTCACAGTAGCCAAGAGATGCAATCCAAATATCCATTGGTGGATGAAAGGATAAAATATGGTATATACATACAATGGAAGACTAAGCAGCCTACGGAAAGAAGGAAATCATGTCACATGCTAGAACATGGATCAATCTCAAGAACATTATGCTAAGTGAAATAAGCCAATCACAAAAGGACAAATACTTTCCCTTCATATGAAGTATTTAAGGTAGTCGAAATCACAGAAACATAAAGTAGTGGTTGCCAAGGGCCGGGGGTGGGAGTAGGGGGAAAATTAGTATTTAATGTGTACAAAATTTCAGTTGTGAAAGATAAAAAATTTCTAAAGATCTAAATTTCACAATGATGTGAATATACATAACATTACTAAATTGTACAATTTAAAATGTTTAAGATGGTTTTTAAAAAAGGAAAAAGCATAGGAATAAATTTCATGACCTAAGACTAGTTAACGGTTTCTTAAACATGACATCAAAACCACAAGTAACAAAAGAAAAAATAGATAAATTGGACTTCATCCAAAGTAAAAACTTTTGTGCTTCAAAGAGTACCATCAAGAAAGTAAAGGACAACCCACAGAAGGAGAATATTTCTGCAAATTATATCTTGTAAAGCATTTTTATCTGGAATATATAAAGAATTCTTATAACTCAATGACAAAACACAAACCAGTTAAAAATTACTAAATGTTGAGTACACATTGCTCCAAAGAAGATATACAAGTGGCGAATAGGTACGTGAAAGAGGTTCAACATCAGAGAAACACAAATGCAAACTACGATGAGATGCAACTTCAGAACCACTAGGATGACTTTATCAAAAAGAGAGTTGATAATAAATGTTGGCTCGAAT
Organism: Homo sapiens; assembly: GCF_000001405.40. Classification (NCBI taxonomy): domain Eukaryota; kingdom Metazoa; phylum Chordata; class Mammalia; order Primates; family Hominidae; genus Homo; species Homo sapiens. The sequence continues at coordinate 87,370,448 of NC_000010.11, read as the reverse complement.
ATGGAGAGACGCTGGGACCCTCACACAGCTAGTGGGTATATAAAATGGTTCATGTACACTGGGAACAGTCTGGCACCTTCTGAAATGGTTAAACACAGAGTTTCCATATGGTCCACCAATTTCACTCTTAGGTATGTAGCCATGAGAAATGGAAACATACATCCCCAGGAAACCTTGTACACAAATGTTCTTAGAAGTGTTATTCACAATAGCCAAAAAGTGAAAAAAACCCAAACGTTCTTAACTGATAAATGGATAAATTTTAGTATATCCATTAATGGAATATTATTCAGCAACAAAAAGGTTTGATGTAATGATACATACTAAAAATGTAGATGCCATTGGAAATATTATTCTAAGTGAAAGAAGACAGATGTGAAAGACACACATTGTATATTCCATTCATAGGGCATCATGCAACGCTGAAGTTAGAATCAAAGTGAGCTACAAAAGGGCAGCCACCTGGATCAAGTCCATCCTCATAGCTGTCAGAAAGCACAGCATGTTCACTAACGGGGGCAAGCCTTGCTCACGTTGTCAGATGGAGTTTCCCAGGAGGCTATGGCTTCTTCGGGGATCTGTCATCCAATGGTGAAGGGAGGGGTCTCTGGAGGCAAACCTGCCAGGGGCCACCCCAGCCGCACTGGTTCCCAGAGAGTGACCTGGGTGTGTGAGCAGGGAGGCCAAGCCGACCAAGAGCCTCAGCACACCCCCAGCACCTGCTGTGAGCAAGCTGCATGGCTTCCCCAAGTGTGGATGCGATGACATCATGGGTATTTACAGATTCCTTTTCACTGTGTCCCAGGCTCTCCTGGTTCATGTGTGATACACTGCACTTGGGGTGGAGGTGTGCTGACAGTTGTAAAGGGCTGAGCCTTTCTTTCCCGTGGCTCTGATGCACGGTTTCCAGATACCAGTCATGAAGGAAGTTCTTGAGATTATGGACTTTGTCCTAGTCACATAGGGCTGCTCGGACAAAGGGCCATAGACTTGGGGGTGGTGGCACATATTAAAAAAAGAAATGTATTTGTCACAGTCTGGAGGCTGGAAGTCCGAGGTTAGCATCCCAGTGGGCAAGGTTCTGGTGAGGGCTCTCTCTCTGGCTTGCAGATGGCCGCCTTCTCAGTGTGTCCTCGTGTCAGGGAGAGAGAGAGCTCTGGGGTCTCTGCTTCTTACCAGGGCCCTAATCCCATCATTAGGGCCCCACCCTCATGGTCTCTTCTAACCCTGAATAACTCCCAAAGGCCCCATTTCCAAATACCATCACGTTGGGGGTTAGGGCTTCAGCACAGGAACTGGGCGGGGGACGTATGTTCAGTCTACCAGAGCCCCCCAGTCAGCCCCACTGTGCCCATTTAGGGGCAGATTGTAGGGCTCAGGTGGGACACAGAGGTGGAGGAAGCACAAGTTCTGCTTCCTAGGAATGGCTCAGCCAAGACAAGGACAGGGACAGTGGGATAGACAACAGCCAGTGGGGTAACCAGCAGGAGCCCCAAGGTGTCACTTTCACCCTTAGGTGAGGAAGTTGGCTGGGCACCCACACACGCCAGAGTATGGACCATGTTCCCTTCAAACACGGCTCACTTAACATTCCTAAACCCTGCAAAGGGGCAGTGCTACCTTATCTCCTGAGGATGGCCGTGAATGTAGAGGAGTCACGGGAGCTGCCCACATCACCCACCAGTGACTCTTCGCTCCCCACATTTTCCCCGAGGGCCTGACGTGCACTGAGCTGGGGAAGCCCTGCCAAGATAAACTCTCCTTCCCAAAGGCCACAGAAGACAGCAGGCCTCCGACACTGCCCACATCGAGCAGAAGGGACGGGGCAGAGGGGCATCTGTCAGGCTGACTGCTGTGTTCTGTGGGCAGATGGGGCCAGAGAGGACCCAAACATGGCTCCCTTTGTCACTTGGCCGAGGGGCCAGGCCACCGTGTACCAGACAGCTTTGCCCCACCAGCCTCTGCTGCTGGGCCAGCCCCCAGGGCCGTGACCACAGCTCTGCACGCAGGCAGTGCTGGGACCAGTGCCCTGGCAGTCACAGGGGTCCTGAGCCAATAAGCGCCCTGGGGGAGGAATCAGAACTCAGACCGTGGAGAAGAAGGTGTTGGCCAGGAGGGAACCAGGGTGGGTGCCGGGTCCTGTCCACGCTGGGATCTGAGATTCTAAGAGGTGGGTTAGGGGTAAGGGGGGCAGAGTTGGCCCATGGGGTGAGGGCAGTTCAGCAGAGATTGGGAAGACAGGACAACCTGGGAAAGAGCAGAGCATCCTCCCCAGCCTCGGTCCCTCTCCTGATGCAGTCCTCATCTCACTCATAGACTCTGGAAGTCTCCCTTTGGCGAACACCTAGCCCCCAACTCCCAGGGCACTTCCCAGACAGCCAATGCCACATCCCAGGCAGCCCCTGCTCTGCCCTTGGGGTCTGTGCCTGGCAGAAGGGCGGCTGACCCTCGGCCCCTCTTGGCCTGGGCCCCAGCTCCTCCGGGCCCTGGAACCAGCAGAAACCCCCACCCTGCGCCTGATGGACTGGACATGCTTGTTCCCATTGGTGATGGTGTGTTGGGAGGGAACTGTTTTAGAAACCAATGTAAATCTGTGTCTACATCAATTCCACATGAGTTCAGTCATCATATGGGAAGGGAATCATAGCTGTGGGGGGCTCCATGCAGGACCTTGAGGGCCCCGAGGCCAGTCCCTGTGGCCACAGCAAGGAGCATCTGCTTTAGCTAGTTGGACAAGACTCTCTCCTGCCCAGAAACAGGCAGAAGGACTTCCCCTGCTCCCCACCCATCATCGTATCCCAAACACACCTGTGTGGATGGTCACCTCAACGTCTCCCCTCAGCCCAGTGCCCGCGCTCTTCCTGATGAGGGTTAAGCAGGAGCAGCCTCCTCTCCCCATGTCCATGTTGCAGGCGGCTGCCTTCTCCTCAGCTCCCACCGAGCAGAACAAGAGCCAGCCAGCTCTCTCCAATCCCAGGATTTTCCAGGGATGCTGATAACGATGAGGGGGCCCCAAGAAGCCTCCCTAAAGCAGGCAGGGCCTTGTGAGTGGGTGGTGGGAGGGATCAGGGCTTCCTCAGCATCTGTCAGTCCCTGGAGCATCTGAAGGGGCTCCCTACGTCAGGAGGAAAGAGTGGGGCCGGCCTCTGTGGGTTCCCAGAGCCTGGCATCTGCCAGTTCCTCTGCCCTCCCTCACAGACACCCTCCACGGAGCAGCACAGCACCGAGGACAGAGGCAGCAGCCCCAAGAGCATTTTCCAAGACAACTACATTTATTCACACTTACACACGAGGCCCCCAACACACTGCTTCCCACCCCCACTCCCCAGCCCCTTCCCCCCAGACCCTCCCTTCCTGCCCTCCCCATTCAGGCCACCCTCTCCCTCCCCTCCCTCCCCTACCCTCCAAAGCTAAGGCCCAGCAAGATCAGCACTGGGGGAGAAGAAGCTTTTGACCGCTTTGGGGCATCGGATGCCAGAGCCCCATCCTTGGGGATCGGCCCCAGAGAGCCTGCTCAGAAGCCCCTACTGGCTACAACGCTGCTTCTTCTCCTTCCTGGAGACCAAGGGGTCACCCTTTCTCTTTTGAGACTGTGAGGGGCCACCCAGCCCCCAAGTCAGGGATTGCTCCCCAGAGACCCTGAGCCCAGGCCCTGGGTGGGGTGTCTTTTCAGCAGGGGACAGGCTTCCAAAGAGAGGTCGCTTCTTGGCCTTGTTGGCAGGAGAAGGTGCTAGGTTGAGGCCTCTTCTCTCAGCAGATGGGGACTGATGAGTTCCCTGGGGTCCCCACTTTTCTGGGCTGAGAAGGCCCGAGGCAGGGACAGGGCTCTGGGGTAGCCACCAGGGCAGAAGCTTGTGCTGGGAACCCAAGAGGAAGGCCAGGCTGGGGAGTTCCTCCTCCTCACTTGACCCCTGAGCCAGCCCATGTGACTCCCTGACAGGAGACCCTCCAGGGAGATCCAAGGCATCCTTGGTACCCACGCCAGGGCAGGTGGGTCTGTGGTCCTGGGGAGGAGAGGTTGGCCGGGCAGCCCTCAGCCCAGGGGAATCCTGACATCCCAAAAGCACAACAGAGTCTTTGGACCTGGCCATGCCAGTGTGTGCTCTGCCTCGTCCCTGAGAGTCCCGGGCAGTCGTCTGGGGTGGGCAGGTTTCCATGCCAACCCCTTGTTGGGGGTCAGGGACGTCTCTCTCTGCTCCTTGGCCAGCTGCAAACTTAGAAGAACTTGAGTCCAACCGGGCTGTGCCACGACTAGGGGCTGCCCTCGCATGCTGTTTCTCCTTCAAGGGTAGGAGGCGCTTCTCCACTAGCTGCGGGAGGAAAGGGGGCACTTACGGGCACTGCCCCAGGTGTGAGCGGGGCCCAGGGTGGTGGAGACCAGGGCACTTAGGCGGCAGGTAGGGAAGCCTGAGGCAGCTGGGCTTTATGTCAAAGAGAGAGGGTGTGGCTCTGCCGGGCCTCCCGTTGGGCCTCACCACAGCTTGCATGCTGACTCCCCTCCCTGGCTCCTGTCCATCCTACTCCCTCTGAACCTGCATCTTCCCACTCCAGAGTGGCTCCCCAAGAAGCCGAGCATCCCCAGCGGGGGGGATTAGACAATCAGGTGGGCCTTGTGTGCCAGGTCCCTCCTGCCCCTGGGGTACCTGGGCAAGGGTGAGTCCTTCCTCCTGCTCCAGCTCCTGGCTTAGGGCCAAGAAATCCATCTGTGGATCTGGGGAAAGCAATTCTTCCAGGAATTGGGGATGAATGACGGCCTCCACCTGGAAACAGAAGGAAGAAGGCGTGAGCTTCCTGGGCAGGGAGTAACCTGGAGCCAAGGACACCTGGAGGAGATGCAGAAAGCAGCGAGCGCCCCGTCCCCACCCTCCTGGGGCTGTCTCATATCATGGTGACCACCAGCTACAGACACAGACCACAGACCTGGTAGCTACACACACACAGACAGAGACACACAAACCACACACAGACACACAAACAGACCCACATATGACACAGGAAAAGACACAGACACAGGTAACGTACACACTCCACACTCACACCCACACAGACACACAAAGACACACAGTAACAAACCACAGACACAAACACACAGCAACACACAGACACACACAATCACATACACAGACACTCAAATCCTTGGAAATACACACACTGCTGAGTAGCTAAGGAACAGAGCTTAATTCCAAGGACCTGGGAGTGCCACCCCCTGGAATCCAGCAGACCCCAGCACTCCAGGCCAGCCCACCTTGGTGACGAAGTCTTTCTGGGAACACAGCTTGTCAGTGTAGCTCAGGAGGCCCGGGTCTGGGGGCGTCCAGTCCTCTTCCTGTGGCTGCTTCACTTCGCCCTCTTCCCGTTGTTTCTCGGGCTCCCCCGTGGCCCCGAGAGAAGGCCCCAGCAGCTCCTCCATGATGTCCACATACTCCTGCACCACTTCTGGGGGGATCTCCTCAGGGACCTTGGTCTCTGCTGGTCTCTGGGGCCTGGGTGGTGGCAGGCGGGCCTTGGTCTCTGCTCGCCGGTGGGGCCGGGGTGGTGGCCGGCGGGCCTTGGTCACTGGCCTCTGGGGCCTGGGTGGTGGCAGGCAGGCAGTCGGGGCCTTGGGGCCGGCCTTGCTGGGAAGGTACACTGAGGCAGAGAGGGAGGAGGACGGGCGTGGTGAGGGCCGCTCCTCCTGCTGGCACCACACAGGGGAGGGCAGGGCTTGGGGATGTGAAGTGGGTCCCAGCTGGGTCAGGACCACCTGAACCGCAGCACCCCCGGAGGAGGCAGGAGGGGCACATCTGAGACAGCATCGCTTGGGAGGAAGTTTGGAGCCACCAATATGCCGTGTACTCTCCCCGCTCATCCCTGCTTCCTGGGCAGAGCATATGTGGAGTTTTGGACAGGCGAGGGGAGAGAGTAGCTAGGAAACTTGACCAGGTCAATACCGAACATATGCTCCTGGAAACTGTCCTGTTGGAGGGAGCAAATCCCCCTCTCGAAGGGAAGCATGGGGTGTGGGGACAGTGGCCTCCCTTGGCCCCTTTGGCCTTTGCCATGGCTCCTGTGGGAATGTGGGAAGCCATACCTGGCTGCTTGACCACCTCAGGGGCCGGGGGTCCTCGAGGTTCAAGCCTCGGTGTGGCTGGAGGAGGCAGGCACTGGGGCCCCTTCATCCATTGCGATTTCTGAATCTGCATCTCCTCCTCAGCCTCAAACTCCAGGAACCTGGCGGTGAAGGAGGCCCAGGCTGTGCTGAGAGGGTCCAGGCCCCCTCCCCCCAGGACCAGGCAGCGGCCGAGGGCAGGGATGGGAGGGAGTGCCTCGGGTGGGCTGTCCAGGCCCTCACTGTGTCCCATCCCCCAGTCCCAGGAGAAAGCTGCTCCCAGAGTTCTGGGCTCACCCTCCCTCACCCGGCCCCTGCAGAGCCCATGGCATCAACGGGGCTTCCTGACTCAACTCAGGGCCACGAGGTCCAGGAGGGTCTCGGGGGACCCCTCCTCCAGGTTTCAGCTGGCCAGGGGTGGGATTTATGGCAGAAGGCATCAGGGATGATGCCCAGATGCAGGAGTCCTGAGGCTAGGACTGTGGGCCCCTGAAAGATAACCCAGGGGCACGAGGCCTGGGAGACCCCTGGTCAGGAGGAAGCAAAAGCTGAGCTCAGAGGACAGGGCCCCTTTCCCCTGAGGCTGCTGTCTATCTGTCTGCCTTCATGGAGGGGACTGCCCAGGAGCAAAGGCAGTCAGGCCAGAGATGGGTCCCATGGTGTCCCAGGTGCAGGTCTCCCCAACCCAACTCCCTGGCCAGGCTGGGATGGGAGAAAACCGACTTCTGGCCACTGCTGTGAGGAGCCTGCACCCTACTCTTGTCCATAGTCACTAGCGCCCCTTCTCCCCATCCCCACAGCTGGAGGTGACCCACTTTGGTCTGTGATGCTGGCTGCTCCTGCCATGACCTCCAGTGTCAAGGCAGGGATGGCCCCAGGCCAGGCAGGGGGTGCTTCCCAATAGGCCAGGACAGAGACCCCAGAACACTCTAGGTGGCAGGAGCAGCTTCCTGAGGGAGCCAGGGGCCCAGAGTGTCCTGGGTTTCTCCACACCCTCCTCATACTCCACGTTGAGAAGCCACCATGGCCACCGGGCCTCTGTCATTCACTCTCACCCTGCCACGCGGGCCCCGCTCCCAGGACCCCAGACTCACTTTTCCGCCATCTCGTAGAAGATCATCCGGTCAAAGTTGCTCGTGTGCTGCCATTCCCGCATGGCCCGCCACAGTCCCTCCTCCAGGGTCATGGTGGGCTTCCGCCGGGCCAGGGATCGGAGAACTGGGCTGTAAACCAGTGCAGTCAGTCTCAGTCTATAAGCCCACCCTTCATCCCAAGCCCACCTGGTCCCAACACCTGGCCCCTGTCCTCCCCACACCTGTCCTGCCATCTGTCCCTGTCCTGTTCTCCCCCATGTGGGCTCCTCAGGCCCCAGGACACACCCCCAAGATCAAACATCAACACAAGCTACCAAGTGGCCTCTCCGACTGCCCCTCGAGTCCTCAGTGTTGAGAAGTGGACTCAGTACTATGGGTGGAACATGTGTGTCTCCAACATTCCTGTGCTGAAGTCCTCAGCACCAGTGTGTCAGTATTTGGAGGCAATCAGGGTTAAAGCAGGTCATGAGCGTGGGTCCCAGTCATGGAATCCAAGCCCTGATAAGGGCAGAAGGAGACGCCAGGGCTCTTGCTCTCAGCCACGAGGAGACATAGCCAGAGACAGCTCTCTCCAGCCAGGAGGAGGGCCCTGACCAGATACCCAATCTGCTGTCACCTTGATCTGGGACTTCTGGCCTCTGGAACTGGGAGACATGAATGTGTCTTGATAAAGCACCCAGTCTACGGCATTCGTTACGGCAGAGCCTGAGCTGACTGAGACAGCGTGCACACAGAATGACCTGGGGGTGAGGGTTAAAGTGCAGGTTCCAGGGCCCCAAGACTGAGCATTTAACCGGCTTCCTGGGGACTCTGGAGCAAGGCAGCCCCTGGGGACGTAGCCTCAGGGCCCTGGAGCATGAGGAGCAGGAGCACACGTCCAGAACCAAAGCAGAGCGGTGTCCACGCCACTGCAAGCAGCAGGTCCAGATCCCACATTCCCACAGGAGCCATGGCAAAGGCCTGTGAGCCTGGGGCAGCTCCACCCCAAGAATCAGGGTCCCCAGTGCACCGGGACTCCGCTCCAAGGAGGAATGCAACCAGTTCCAGGGTGCGGGAACAGCGAGATTTTGGGGGATGAAAATGGGGCCACCTTCCACCTACACCCCAGGCAGGGGACTTCCCTAGGGGAACGGCCAGTGTGTTGCACGGTGGATGTGCTCAAGCTCCCGTTTGCTCATCAGCGGGAAACACAGGGTCACAGAGGCACCGCAGGGTGGAGAGAGGCAGGGACTGGGAATGAAACCACAAACTCTCCCAGATGCTGACGTTGCTGCCTCACAGTCACCACAGTCCATGGCCCTGGGCTGCTGGACTCATGGTGCACTCAGAGCTATCACTGGAGCCCGTGGCTTTGGGGAGTGCTCTCCTAGATGGCCTAGTCTTGATAATGATAGTAATGGGGACAGTAATCATAACTGCTATCATGTAATGTGTCATAGCATGTGCCAGGCACTGTGCTATGCATGTCATATGTGAGCTCAAGTTATCTCTTCACCATCCTCTGAATGAAGCATCATTGTCCCTTTTTCTAGGAGGGATTGAGGGTGAAGATGCAAATACCTGCCCGGCATCGGCCCCAGTGCAGGACCCAAGACCATCCCCCTGTGCAGGCTCCACCACCGCTGTGCTAACTGGACCTCAGCGGAACTGCGGGCATGTGCCAGGTTCCTGCTGGGCCCTGCAGCTCCTTCCCCCGGCCCCATGTGAGGTGCTCCTGGCCATCAATACTGGGTTAAAGGGGAGGCACTGGGGTGTGTACTCAAAGACCTAAACCCAAACCGTAGCTCACGTCACACCAGGAACCCTCTCTGACCTGGGTCTTCTGTAAACATTGTTGTGAAAATTATTGAAAGTAAGGATTGGCTGGACTCACGAGACAGTGACGGGCAGTTGAGATGAGGCCCCTGACAGTCTGTCCTGAGCCGCAGCCAGATTAATATTGTTGAAAATGTACCTTCCCATAGTGCAGCCCATCACCCTCACAACCGCCCTGCAAGCTCCCCTGAACAGCGTGACCTCCCGTCCATCCAGCAGCCTCTTTACGTGTGAGCTGCAGGACCAGCTCCAATGCCCCCAGGACACTCACATGAGGAAGCACGAAAGCGCTTCGGTGTCAGGACTCTGGGGAAGGTGCCTCCGGGCCAGGGGCTTGTAGTGCTGCCAGAGTCGGAAGTTCTCATAGACACTCCTGGGGTTACAGGAGTCATCTGGCGGGGCCTTGGCCTGGGAGGAAGCCAGGCTGCCCTCTCCGTGAGCCCCTTGTGGCCATGGCCCAGCATTCCCTTGGGACACAATGGGGGGCAGCTGGGCAGCCGGTGGTGGTGGTGGTGGAAGAGGAAGGCCCTGGGACCAGCCTCCCTCACAGGCCTGGGTGCCCCCAACCACCTGGGCAGCCATAACAGGCACCACAGGAGCAGCTGCCAGGAGTAGGGGAGGTGGACACACAACACCTCCGCAGAGGGCGCCTGGAGCCTGCCAGACGAGGGGGGTCTGAGTTAAGACCAAGGTCTGCGCCTGAGCGGCCTTCACAGGCCCCACCTCTGTCCTCATCTGGACAAAGACGTTGGAAGCCCCGGCCCCACTCGGGCCGCAGCCATCCTGTTCTGTCACCAGAGGTGTGCTGGGGAAGTTAGACAGCACCAGAGGGCCGCCTGGAGGAGCCCCTGCAGTCACAAGGAGCGGCCCGTGTGCTGGGCCGGGAGCGGGTGTGGTGAAGGGCAGAGCCGTGAACACAGACAGGGAGGTGCCAGGGTTCGCGGTCACGCCCGGTCCCAGCGCTGGGTATGCTGTGGAGACAAAGGAAAGAGGTGAATGAGCTGGGGTCTCCAGGTCCACACTAGTCACTGGGGAATCAGAGGGGAGTCCCAACAGCTAAGGGCGTATGACAGGGAAACTGCAGCTTGCAAATGTCCCTGAGTGTGCATCGGATGCTCTGTTCCTCCACGGAGAGTCGCTCCACTAGAGAGCCTGGCCCCGGTCACCAAGACTCCCTGACCCCTGTCTCCCAAGAAGTAACAGCCAAGCCTTCGCTGCCCGAGGGTCTCCCTCGGGTGTCCCTGGCAGACCCTGTCAGCCTCACAGGCATCTCCCAAGCCATGGGTCAGGGATGAGTCTCTCAGCGGCTTGGTGGTCCTCAGCGTGCTCAGCAACAGGTGAGGGGCCTACCCCAGGGCAGTGCTCGGCACTCAGAAGGCCGACAGGAAGCCAGAAGCTTCCGAATATTATGGCCCCATCTCCTCTTCAATCTTCCTTTTCCTGACGCTCTTGTAAACCCCTTTCTTTCCCAGCTCAGACATAACAAAACAAAACCACTGGATGGAAATCTTTCCCAAGCCAGCGCCCTAGGAACCCTGAAGATAATCCATAACTGTCATGCCCAGCATGCAAGTGATTGTCCTGGCACCACCCACAGCAAGTGCTAAATAGGGGTCAGATTCGGGCCACCCTTTCCGCAGTACTCGATGGTCCCGGCTGCCACTCAGGAAGCTCTGTTCCCAGGGAGCAGGTCTGAGAGGCAGTGGTGGAGTCCCCTGAGACAGTGTCACTGCATAGCCAGCAAAAGCCACACACGATTAGAACACAGCCAGCAAATGGCGAGCAGCAGAGCTAACAGGGGAGGTGTCTAGGGATTTTCACAGCTGCTGGTCATGTTACAATAGGTAGTGGGACAAGGAGCCCATCCCTGGCCCTTCTCCTTTGAGCTCCCAATGACTGAACATAGTGACCAACCAAAAACCAGGGGTTCTTGGGCCATGGGCCGGGTGAGGCAAAGTTGTCTGGAACTCATCCCTGTTCAATAGGACCTCATGCAGTCTCTAGTCAAGGGGAATAAGGGATACAGCACATGCACCTCATCATTCAGGACACGTATCCTAACTTGAATAATAATAATAAGAGAACCATCTTCCTATTCGTGCGCTACTCTCCTTCCTCTACTGAAAAGGAAACCAGCCTTTCCAGACCCTTCCACTGAGAACCAGCAAGAATCCACACCTGCCCCCCGTTCATGAGGTAGTATAAATGGAATAGGAGCAAATTCTTCATCTCCACAGTAACACAAAGTGCAGAGGACAGGCCATGAGCTAGCAGACAAGAGGAAGTGGGTCTGAAGACCTGAGCTTCCACAAAAGGGCAAACAATTCAGAACAACTCAGGAAACCCAGGCCCTGTGTTGCCTGAACTTCCTCATCTGCCCCCACCCCTGTTAAATCAAAGCCAACAGCTACCTGAACTGATGGAGAAGCCATCTCTAGGGAGAGAGCTGAGGGGCTCTGGGCTGTGGCAGTTACAGCAGCCCCCAGCCTCGCCCACCCAGGGGCTGTCACTACATGCTCTGTCACAGCCAACCCACCCAACAGTTTTCTGGCTGAGACCACTTCTCCCCACTCCTCCCTAAGATCTAGAAAACTCCAGTCCAAATCTCTCTGAACACTATGGAAGGGCACCTTCCAGGTGCCTGAAGATATGGCACAGGGTTCAGGCTTGCCTATCATCCTCCCGGGGCCACCAGCACAACATGATCCCACCACTCCCTACAAACACACAATGACGTGACCTGTCTCCTTCTAGAAAGGATCAATCCATCCACTCTGTCCTTTCTCCTACACGGTGTATTCCCCCAGGCATCTTGTTCCACCTCTAAGGGGCCGTCCTCCCTAAACACAGACTCAGGGTGCCATGGCCATCCCCAGGTGTGATGTCCTTGGGGACATCCAGTCTTCCCTCCCTCCTCAACATCAGCCCTATCAACTGTCCCCGGGGCAGTGTCAAATTTGAATTCCTAAGGAGTTGAGGCATGGCAGACTCAGATAATGCCCCCATCCCTACAGGCTTACCTCCATTTGAAGCCATCCCCTCAGGCTGGGCACTGACTACCGCTGTCTGGCAGTTTCCACAATGAGAAAAGCCAAGGGTAAGACCCAGAGAGTGACCTGGCTCACCAGATGCTCCTGAGTCCAACTGAAACAGGAAAATTTGAAAGTAAACAGGTTCCTGGAACATAGGACCCCAGACATTCTGCAGAGGGGGAGGGGCAGTGGGCAGCTGTTAGGGGTGGGGGACATTCTGTGAAGGGCTTCGGCCATTAGGCAAGAACCTGAGTTTCCCTTCCAACTGGAAGGCAGCAGCAGAGATGGCGTGTGCCTCTTTAGGCAACTTTTAAATTGTCCTTCTGACTCACAGCAAAAGCTTCTACCTGATGGCCCCTTTACTTCCATTCTTTATCAGCAGACCTACTTTTGTGCCAATCAACCCATGCTCCTTCCCACTTTGGCTCTTTCCCAGTCTTGACGAATTTCAACAGCGGCCTCACTTCGTGAACAAAGTTCAAAACACATTTTCAGTCTGAGAAACACAGGGGTTCTTAGGAAGGCAAGGGGACTGGGTGTTTGAAATCAGGATGGTCTCAGCCGATCCAGACTATTAGGTGGCTGTGTGCTTATCATTGTTTAGGAAGCAATCCTTGTACCCCCAGGTCATGCATGTTGCTGGAATCTCTGTCCACACCAGCAGGCCAGCCTTACGTCCCAGCCCCTTTGCTGGAAAGCCTCAATCCAGGAAAGAGTGGCTATGTGACCTACAGCACCGAGACCAGAAATCCTTTCATTTTGTTTCCCAGCATATTGTGCTGGTGTTAAATATTTATGTTTTATCTTTTGAATGATTTTAATTTAACCAAGCAATACTTTTCATGGCTCCAAATTCAAACTGTGCACAGTGGAATAGGCAATGACCGGCCTTCCTCCCATCTCTTTTCCCTGGCCACATTTTCTTTCCTGGAGGAAACAGGTGTTATCTGATTGTTTCTCATCTTCACTGAAACACACCCTGGCTGGCCTCTCTCAGCTCACTGTTGGCCTCATCTTCACCATACGTTCTTGCTGTCTGGAATCCAGTGTCATCGCATGTGGTTCTCTGCATGGGAATTATTGTAGCCTGTCTTTAAAAAAAACTTCATTCTCATTTCCACACTGAGAATCACTGTCCGTTTATTAGTGTCAAAATGATAGGAAAGAGCACTCATGTTCTGTGTTGTGAACAAGGGGAGTATTAGAAGAAACTGGTCAAAGGAGATGAGGAGTGAGAACTCAGAGCACAGCAACAAAATCTTCTGAGACACACAAGTCACTCCCTGCTGGGCAGGGTAATTTTGCACGATGGGAGGGTGTTGGGGAAGGGAAGAGGCCTTCAGCCAGACCGGTGCACACTGCAAACATTCACTGAAACACACCCTGTCGGCACTTACGAGCATTTGCCCCTTTCGAAGACATTTGGACTCAAGAAGGCAGAGTTGCAGGAAAAGGTAACAGCGGCCACACTGCAGGGGCAGGGGCAGGGGCAAGTGGTGGATTGCAAGTCTCAAGCCCAGGGTTCTCCCCCACTGCCCCAGTTGTGTGAGAAGGTCATTTCCTAACTCCTGTCCAATATCCCCATGAGTTCTCGGTTTTGTCCCAACTCTGAACCTGAATGGTCCAGCAAGCATTTCTGTGAAATGTCTCCACAGTGGCCACTGGGAGGGGAGTGACCTCCATGCAGTGACTGTCTGTCTGGGTGCTCCCAGGCCTTTTGTCCTCTGAGACAGAACTGCCTTCTTACATGCAGCCCTCTTCCACTGTGCAACTCTCTACCTCCATCTTAGCTGAGAAGATCAACGGAGAGCAATTCAAGCAAAATCATGGTAAACTTACCAAAACAAAACAAACCGTAAACACTTTGGAGATCTTTCTGAGGACTTGATCTTTTACCATGGGGCAAACTTAAATGATTTTCAATCAATAACTTCATCTAAGAGGGATGTTGAAGCAAAATATCATACTCAGATACTGAAGAAGCGCAGAATTTTTGGTTGCTTCCTCCCTTGTCAAGTCAGTCAGCTGATGCTTTCTCAAGATTCTCACACGTGGCTTTGATACAGGATTTGAATGAGTCTTTTTCTGAGCCAGTGATACAAAAAATATATTGTGGAAGTGTCTTGTCTTAATTCTGCAATCGCTTCTGTACATGTTTGAAGTCCTAGACCCCAGGAGGAGAGACAGTCAAATTAGCCAAGGGTAATTTGTGAAGACTGGCCATGGGAGGTGGTGGCTAAAAGTCCTCCGGCCCGCTGTCTGAGCATCCCCACAGAAAGTCCTGGGCCGCACTGACAGCTGAGAAAGAACATCTCAGGGCTTGGATCCCCTGTTCAGAGGACACATGCTCCTCCACCCAGTAGAGGAATGGCGGCTCCATGCTGTGTCCTGCAGAGCTCTCAGTCTCTGCACTTGAGGCCCTGGGCCTGCATCAATGTGAAGGCTCTTCAGTGTTATCACGTGGAGACAGATGATAGGAATCCTGCAAATGAGCAGAAAGGATGTGACGATTAAAGTTTCTTCTGACGGTATTACAAACTGAAGTCAGTGAGTTCCTTCTCTACTAGTTTTTTATTGCCAACTGGAATTCTGCACTGTGTTGCAGAGTCAGGGGTGGGGAGCGTGGAATTGTTCCCTTACTATCTGCTGCTTTATCGACTGAAATTGATCAAGGCTACAACAAAAACATTTCTAGAAATCATTTGAATGCGGTAGGAAAAACTCTGGGAATGGAGTCAGAAGAAAATATATTTTGGAGTGTGTTTTCAGGTCTAAAAATCTTTGCCAGAAATACTCTTTAATGGAACCTCCAGACTGAGTAGGAAAACAGGGCATACTATTTTTTGAAAGGCATGAGCAGGAATGAAATCAATGCCATCCAAAGGGAATGCAAGACATGCAATTTGAGGATACTTTGCTTTAGGATAAACCCTCCAAAGGTAAACCTTTCAGCAAGGGTGTTACCTAAGTGCATGGACTGCAGGTTTGTATTACCGAAAATTAGGAGTGATCGTTGCGGACGCGCTGGTTTCTCAGAGGCAGGGTCATGGAGGTTCCAATGAGGGGGCGTTGTCTGGCCCCAGGAAGCGCCCAGGTGCCGCGTCCCTCCATTTCCACATCTCCAGCGGGGCCCTCCTAGGGCGGGTCCTGGCCTGCCCCGTGTGCCGCCGCAGGAGCCTTGAGGCGGGCGAGGTTCCAGCGCGAGGCCGGCCGCCCTCAACCGCTCCCAGCGCCAGTTGCGGCGGTTGATGGCAGGGAGACGCGCAGCGCGAGAGCAAAGGGCGGTGACCCAACGGCCTTCGCTCTCATGGCGTCCTTCTTGGTGTTACCTAAAAATAAAGCCAAGGGTGATCAGAAGGTAATCACCTCCTGGTCATGCTCCCACTGGTCACCAGTGTCCGTGGGGCGACCCCACATTGTGACCAGAGCAGGCCTGTGGCTGTGCTCAAGGCGGGAGCGTTCATAGCTTTCCTAGTGGGGGCCCTGCGGGACGCCCAGGCCACGCTCCTTTCCCTTGCTCACCTGGCCCTGAAGTGAGGGGGGAGGTGTAACAATGCAGTGGGAACCTCAAAGTGTGTCTCGGCCATGCCCTTCACATTCCAAACAATGCAAAAGCTTGAAGAAAACCTCAGCAGTTGAAACCGTGATGCAGTTCAGCAAAGAAGTAGCTCCTGTCCCCGTAAAACAGTGAAGTTCTCACGGACGACCTCATTGAGTAAGTTGTGAAGCTTGTTGACTTGATCAGAATGATCAGCCAGCATGCATGTTCTAATACGCTGATTTGTCACTGATAGGAGCAGCTGCAAAGTGGAAGAACAGGCCTTTAGTCATAGTTTGTTCACTTGGTAGCACAAGTTGGTTGTGGATGCAAGAGTGTGGCCAAAGTCAAGAAAAGCTTCCATGAGAATCGCTTACTTATGTGGGATTTACAAATAAAGACATAATAAAAAATGCAGTAAAGCCATAGGTTTTATGGCTGGCTTTGGAGAAAAGGGGTTCTAGGGGTTCTGTCTACTATGACCCACTGTTGTGGAAGAGAGATTCTAGTTTCCATGGCCAGCCTTATGGGAGAATAGAACTAAGAGACAAGAGGACTGGAGAAGGTCAGAGAAAAATGTTTGTTTCTGAGGCTGCAGCTGAGGCTTTCATTTGGGGGTTTTGTTTTCTGATCCCCAGAACTATCCTACACTGTAATTGCCTATTTACTTGTCTGAGTTCCCTAGTTAGACGCTGTGCTCCTTGAAGGCTGTGAGTAGTTTTTAAATACTATTTTACTCAATTGCAATTGCTTAATATCTGGCACACAGCAGGCCCTCTACAAATATCTATGCACGAAAGAATATAATTTTCATCACTCATTCCATTCTGAAATGCACACACACACATACACACACTGATGAATCAATCAATGGATAAACAGGTAGATAACAGCTAATAGAAAATAATGACTGCAGGTTGTATAACACAATCAAAGTGTTTGTTGTTGTTTATTTTCTTTGAAATTAACTGGCATGCTGGATCCCATTGACACTAGCATCAAAATACCTGATATTATTAGCCGTGACATGTGTTAACTAGTGGTTTCTATGACTGCTTCCCATCACTACTCCCCATCTCAGTGATCCATTTGCTCATCAAATCAAAACTAATTTCCCCAAAGCAAGGCTATTATGAATTTGAAAAAGTTGATTATTTCCCAGCAGATAACTTTAAATGTCATGGAGCCTATTTAAAGACAGCTTTATATCACAAACCTTATGTTCAAGCCTTAATGTACAACCAAATGGACCAAATGAGGCAAACAGAATCAGGCTTCCAAATATAATCATAATTCTAGATTAGCTCTCAAAATAAGACTGCAGTTCACATATTCTACAAAGTATGTTTTGACATTAAATGTAATATACTGAGGATTATTTTTCTGATTTATACTTGCTTTGGTTTCTACCTTTGGGTAGGTGGCTCTGACTATGAAAAAGTCGCTGTGAGCCTGCCAGGCTACATCTCCCTCCCAGCAGTGAAGTCATGCCCTATCCTCCTCCACATTGCCTTTTCCTTCAGATTCTTATTTACCGATGAATGTTTCAAAAATTTTTTTTCTCTTCCTTCTAAAACTAAGCAGAAATATTTCCTCTACCTAGTGTTATTCATTGTGAGGAGAGGCATTTTTTCTTGCAGGTGGGAGAGTATAGATAAGGGTAATAAAGTTCCCATAGTTTTTTGTTTTTGTTTTTCTGGGCATGAACTAATAGTATTTATTTTCTTTTAAATCACAAAGTATGATTGCTGTAGCACTTCTCATTTCTATTTTCTTTTTTAAAAAACAGCTATAAATTCAATTGTACAGGCAGTTTCAAGTACTCAAAACGTAATAGATTAATCTTGACATCTGTGGTTTGTGGATTCAAGTCCCTACATTCTCTAGCTTGTAGTGTTTATGAGGTAGTGGATGTGAAGAGTTCATAAGTCAAATTCACATGTAATTTGTACTGGTTTCATCATTCATCATAAAATATGCTACTGAACAATAGTGAGTACGTTGTCGATATGTAAATACACAAATACAAATGCACACAACATATAACAAAGCAGTTTTTATGATGTACCTTTTGCATTACAATACTCTTATGTAGCTATAAAACTACTACAAGAGATAAAGTAAATTTAAAAGCTATTTTCTTCAGTTGCATGTACATAGATGTATCCTAGAGAAATGCTATTGTCCCTCAGAAATAGTATTTATAAACGAATATTTTTTTAGACAAACCCAAAGTACTATGGAATAAGTTTGTCTTATTTTGTTTTTAATCAGTGAATATAGATGACTAGTTCATTCACTTAGTCTTTCAGAAGAGTATTAATATCAAAATTATCATATGGTCTAATTTTTTTTAAATCCCAGTTTCTACAAAACAATAAATGGTGAGGTTCTGACAATTATGAGGGAAACTTAGTACCAAATACATATGCTATTTCTCCACTTGCGCAAGAGAGCTAATTTGTAGAAAACAGAAGTCTAAAAGTTGGTAAATCAAATGTGTTTTATAATCACATCTGTGAGAGAAGAATCCTCATGACTTCTGGAAATATCAAAATTTGAAATGACTAAATAACTGACTTGCCAAGGAATTTGTATTCTCTTGTACTTTTACACACTAGGGGAGAAAATAGTAAAAACTAGCATAATCGTGTGGCAAAATATCCATGAAATAATATTTTGAACGTTAAAATATGGATTTAAAATAAGACAAATGGATGTGTTTTTTAGATGTGTATGCCTAAAAGATGGATACTGTGGATATCTGATGGCTTTCTTGATTAAGCCACAACCAGTGGACCTCACAAATGTCAAATATGTTATTCCAAAATGTCAGTTGTTTAGACTCATTTCTCAGCTTGTTATTGATGAGTTTCCTTTCACATTTGGAGGCATCCTGTTGGGGAAACTGAAGAACAGATGTTAAGTGTGAAGTGTCTCCCTCCTTAGTTCATATTCATATCACATTGTTTGAGCTGCCACATGTAAACAATATAGACACTAAGCCAACTGGTCCTCTGCCTACTGCTGACGTGGCAGAAAATATCTAGGAGGTAGTCAGAGGGGCATACGTATACCTGTTAAGTGGCCTGGTTCTCCAATAGTCATGCAAATATTGCTAAATTTGTTTCACTCCTGGGAATTCAAGCTTCTATTTCAGATTCCTAATCCACGGCAATTAATTATCTTCTTTGAATACCCAAAGCAATTTATGTTGCTTAACATATAATAAAGTCCATTATTATTCCCTGTTTTATAATTGAGGAGACTAGAGTCTGGATTATTTAAGCAACCAAAATCACCAATCAGTCATGACAGAGCCCATGATTAAAATTCTGTCTGTCCCCAGATTTGTGCTCTTCAGGTAATGACATTTCTGCACAGTTATTAATCTGAGTAAATAGAGTCCATAGTGAATTATTAGCTGATTCCAGGAGATTCCATGCAAATAAAAGTCTTTCTGTCATTTCAGGCTCTGCCAGTCTACATTAATACAAATCACAGCAACAAGGCAGTTTATTTAAAAATATTAAAAGTAATAGAAGATTGAATGGAAGGATGAATGGATGGATTGATTAAGAGACAGATAATAGATAAATTGATGAGAGAAACACACAGAAAGATAAAATAAAATTAAACACACTAACAAAAGTATGATTTGATATATAACAGAAAAAGTTCTTTAGTTTGTCTGTGTGTGTGTGTGTGTGTGTGTGTGTGTGTGTGTGTGTGTAGGTATTCTGTCATAAAAACACAACTATCTAAAACATAAAGTCTCAATCTTTTTCTTAAGAAATATTTTTAATTTAGGCTGGTTACAACTGTGAATTAAATTTTAT
Source organism: Homo sapiens (assembly GCF_000001405.40). Classification (NCBI taxonomy): domain Eukaryota; kingdom Metazoa; phylum Chordata; class Mammalia; order Primates; family Hominidae; genus Homo; species Homo sapiens. The sequence goes on along the minus strand of NC_000010.11, from coordinate 87,351,042 downwards.
TTTTATTTTTTATTGTATTTTATTTTGATTTTTTTTTTTTTTAAGATGGAGCATCGCTCTGTTGCCCAGGCTGGAGTATGGTGGCGCGATCTGGGCTCACTGAAACCTCTGTCTCCCGGGTTCAAGCGACTCTCCTACCTCAGCCTCCCGAGTAGTAATTTTTGTATTTTTAGTAGAGACGGGGTTTCACCATGTTGCCCAGGCTGGTCTTGAACTCCTAACCTCAGGTGATCCGCGTGCCTCGGGCTCCCAAAGTGCTCGGATTATAGGTGTGAGGCACCATGCCCTGCCCAACTGTGAATTAAATTTATATCTAGAAAAGGTGAGAAATATTATTAATGAAAACATTTCTTTCTTTTTATGATACTTAAGTTATACATGTGTAGAAGATGCAGGCTTCTTACATAGGTATACATGTGCCATGATGGTTTGCTGCCCATCAACCTGTCATCTGCATTACGTATTTCTCTTAATGCTATCCCTCCCCTTGCCCCCCACCCCGTGACAGGCCCCAGTGTGTGATGTTTCCCTCCATGTGCCCACATGTCATTGTTCAACTCCCACTTCTGAGTGAGAACATGTGGTGTTTGGTTTTCTGTTCCTGTGTTAGTTTGCTGATAATGATGGTTTCCAGCTTCATCCACATCCCTGCAAAGAACATGAACTCATTCTTTTTTATGGCTGCATAGTATTCCGTGGTGTATGTGTGCCACATTTTCTTTATCCAGTCTATCATTAATGGGCATTTGGGTTGGTTCCAAGTCTTTGCTATTGTAAATAGTGCTGCAATAAACATACATGTGCATATGTCTTTATAGAAGAATGATTTATAATCCTTTGGGTATATACCCAGTAATGGGATTACTGGGTCAAATGGTATTTCTAGTTCTAGATCCTTGAGGAATCACCACACTGTCTTCCACAATGGCTGAACTAATTTACACTCCCACCAACAGTGTAAAAGTGTTCCTGTTTCTTCACATCCTGGCATCTGTTGTTTCCTGAGTTTTTAATGATTGCCATTCTAACTGGCCTGAGATGGTATCTCATTGTGGTTTTGATTTGCATTTCTGTAATGACCATTTCTGTAATGATGAGCTTTTTTTCACGTTTTTGGCCACATAAATGCCTTCTTTTGAAAAGTGTCTGTTCATTTCCTTCACCCACTTTTTTTTTTTTTTTTTTTTTGAGACGGAGTTTCGCTCTGTCGCCCAGGCTGGAGTGCAGTGGCGCGATCTCGACTCACTGCAAGCTCCGCCTCCCGGGTTCACGCCATTCTCCTGCCGCAGCCTCCCGTGTAGCTGGGACTACAGGCGTGCGCACCATGCCCGGCTAATTTTTGTATTTTTAGTAGAGACGGGGTTTCACCGTGTTAGCCAGGATGGTCTCGATCTCCTGACCTCGTGATCTGCCCGTCTCGGCCTCCCAAAGTGCTGGGATTACAGGCGTGAGCCACCGCGCCCGGCCTCACCCACTTTTTGATGGGGTTGTTTTTCTCTTGTGAATTTGTTTAAATTCTTTGTAAACTCTGGATATTAGTCCTTTGTCAGATGGATAGATTGCAAAATTTTTTTCCCGTTCTGTAGGTTGCCTGTTCACTCTGACGGTAGTTTCTTTTGCTGTGCAGAAGCTCTTTAGTTTAATTAGATCCCATTTGTCAAGACATTTCTAACCAGCAACAGGTCCAATATCGGAGTGAGTATGTTCTGATGCACAGGGCAGCAGTGTTTAAGGATATATTCTCTTCATGGAGTAACATCCAACTCAAACTTTAATGGTAACACTTTAAATCTTTCCAAGCTCTGAAAGCAATTTCTTCTGCTTAATTGCTTTTTGGGGACTGTAATACATGTGGGCATTCTTACTCTAAATAGAATTCTCTGCATTTATGTTCAACATTTCTTTTATGGCCACTTAAGTGACTTTTCTCTGGTTATTTATGCAATATAGGTGACAATCTTATTTGGTTTTCTATTTGAATATTCTGTAAAAGCTGAATAACAACTCCAAAATACGACACAAACATGCAGATACATATACAAACACTTACTGTATTTTATTCAATTAGTAAGTGTGTTCACTTAAATTCACACACAACTATACCTATAGGCATGCCCACACATACACACACACATACACTGTTTCTCATTCTTATTTCCTTTATCTGTACTTGGTTTAGTTATGGCTTTTTTTTTGCCTCTAACACTTTTATTTTAAAAAGAAAATTAAAATAGGTTATTGGGATCAAAGATATAAGCTTTTTGTTACTTTGAATGATTTTTGTAATTCAGAATATGCACTTGTTATTTCAGTTCTTATTTTTATAATTATTGGAAGAGTTCATCTAATTACCCTATAAATCCCTGGAGAAAGGTGGCCACCATATACTTTATTTCTTGGTTATATGTATAAAAATCAGTAGGCAATGTAAAAATGTTTTTGTGTGAATTTATGTGAGTTATAATTCTAATTCTATGTCAATATTCACCTCAGATTACCACATGAAAGCTCAGTCACCAACTATGCCTCATACTGAAATACCCACTGATTAAATCAGTTGACAACCAGCTCCTATCGTACATTCAAATCACCAGGATCAATAGAATATTTTCTTATCCAGATTCTCAATCCACTGCTTCTACTCACAAACTTCTTCCCCACGATAAACATACACACACACATGCACACACACATAGACATCTCCCAGATAAATTCTTATGGTCATACCAAGGTAATCCCACTGCTTCCATTTATTAAATAATTGATTGAAAATATTTAAGTGAGAAAAATGGTTGTGTAAGAGTAATATTGTTAGCAGTTGCTAAAACTGAATGTCTATGTGCCTTCAAAATTCGTATGGTGAAACCCTAGTCCCCAGTGTGATAGTATTCAGTGGTGGGCCCTTGGGAAGTAATTAGTTGGTGAATGAGATTAATACTCTTACAGGAAGAGACATCAAAGAGATAATCTCTTTCTCTCTCTCAGTCTCTGCCATGTCAGTATACAATGAGAAAATGGCCATGTGCAAACAAAGAAACAGGCCCTCATCAGTCACTGGATGTGCAAGCACCTTTGTCTTAAATTTTCCAGCCTCCAGAACTGTGAGAACACGCGTTTTCTGATTAAGTCACCCAGTCTACGGTAATTTGTTTTAACAGCCCAAAGTAACTAAAACAGCAATTATCTCATGAATTTGGAAATGGTCTGTGTACACATTATCAGTAATTAATTTTGGAAAATTTACTTATTCTTTTGTAAATCTCAGTTCTCACTAAAGAATAAGGATGATAACAATACCGTATCCCCAGCATGTCCATAAAAATTAAATGGTAGAATGAATCTAAAAAGCCCGATGTATAATGGGTATACAGTATTCAGTACATGCTGTTATATACTTCTTTTCCCCTTTATGAGAACATGCAATATGGTCTGATGAGGTCTTTTTAAAATTGTTCACAATAATTGACATTTTACAAGTCATATCAAATGATACTTTTTGCCAAACCTGGTCTCTGGCTTGATCAGTTTTATTTTACATTTGAAATTTGTACTTAGACTTACGGGACTACTTTCTTCCATGAAAGATCTAATACCCTACAACCAAACACTTCATTATTTGGAGTTAAAAAGTGAAATTCTTCGATTATATCTAAGCTAATTTAAGTATTTTAAGTATATAATGTTTAACTGTTAAGTAGTTTACTTCAATTATTAAAATGACTGAGTCAGAGTAACTGATTATACTTCCTAGGCACACTAGGCCAGATGTCAAGAATCAAGGACTTCATTTTCAGAGCTGGCACTCATTAGCTCTGGGTTTGGAGAATTCACTTATTCTCTTCATTCTTTCTGAATAGTTTACCATTGTTTTCTAGAGGTGATTGAGTTTAAATGCACGATTTGGAGGCTCATAGGTTCCATTCTTTTAGGGAAAATAATTTTGAAAAACAAAGAGAATAAAAAACTCTAGGTCAAAAGAGATCTATGGCTGTCTCATAGCAAGAGTGAAACACTGAGATGCCTATGTGGTATACAAATATTAAAATAAAGAAGGCAAGCTGACTGTGAAAAACAACAGCTAAATTATGGCAATAAATGAAAAATGTCAGTAATATCCCTACTTGGGGACACTATGGAATGGTGGGGACTGAGGATAATTAGAGAAGACAACCCGCCTACACATGGCAGCATCTACTAAGACTTATGACTCTGTTTATGAAGAATATGAGTAAATGTCCTGATATTTAAACACATACCAAAAATTAAGATATTCATGTGAAATGTTTTTTTTTGTATTTTGCTAATTTGATTATTTTAAAATAATAATATTTTTTATTCAAACAAATATATTGTCAGCTTAAAGGCCACTAGTTTCTTACCTATTAAAATCTGCTTTTCAGTTTGATGCTTGAATTTTTTCTATGGCATCACAAGTAAGTTATTGGTTATACATGAACAAATGCATGAATGGAATTATTATTACTTTCATTGACAAATGCTTTTACATATGTAAAATTTTCATCTTTGAAAGTTATTTTATGTGTTTTTACAGAACTATCCTCTCTTCCATGATACATCTTTGTTAATTCTGTTTCTTTAAGTAACATTGAAGATATTTATTTTTCTGTTTTCATATATCACATTCTTATTCCACTAAAATACCTACATTTTCTTCAGTTATGTATGATTGGATTTTTTTAACCATCCAGATACATGTCTTTTGACATAATAGAATCTTTTTTATTCTTAGGATGAAAGAGTTACACCATAGTACAAAAAACTTATTAATTTACTATATCACAGCTACTATGGTGTGGTATGTAAATTAAGTTTATGAAAATTTATGATTATTCAGATTAAGTCCTGCATATGTAATGTTAAGATTTTTTTACTTTAGTTTTCTGAGAACTTGATTTACTAAAAGGTAAATAAATCACACTAGGATGATTATAAATATATCATTATTATTTTAAAAGGTATGCCCCAGTCCTCTTCTTACTGTTGGATAAGCTCATTCTGAAACCACAGTTCCAGACTCTTCTCCTGAGTACAATAAACGTATTTTAAAGCAGTGGTAAATATTTGTTTTGTCTGCAACTCCATCTCCAACAAGTAATTTGTTCAACAATTGTCATTATGAAGTGGATGTCCTTTACATCAGCTCCCTAGATTTTTTCAAGGCCATTGGTGCTTCACAACATTTTTTCAGAGGTTACATTCTAGTCACTTTCTTTATTGTCCATTCAAAACACTTGCTGAGACCTAGGGTGTCAGATTCTATTTTGCCTGTTATTTGACATTCCCTTCTCTTCGCAGGCCATTTAGCTACATATTTCCTATTGGACTATCTGCTTTGGCATTTAGTAAATAAATAACGTAAGTCACTGAGGGTATGGGAAGAAATATTGAGTCATAAATACCATTTTCTCTTAGGGAATTTTCCTCTGAAGGCTTGCAAGTGTGGTATAGTTCAGTGTAGTGCTACCAGCTTCTGTTCTGAGGACACAGCTAATTGGGTTGATAATCCAAGATAATTTAAACAGATTATTTAACCTTTTTATGTTAGTGTTTCTATTTTGTATAGTGGTTATAATAAAACCATTTACTACTTAAGATTAAGATCTTCATAGATCTGAAGAAATATTGTACTAGAATGCTTAGTGAAAAATGTCTGACACATAATAAATACTCCATACATTTTGGCCTTTGCTCTCATTGTTATTTTTACCATCAGCTCTCTATCTCACCCTTGAAACCTGGCTCAGCCCCTGTGGAACTGTAGTATATCACCCCTGTCCCACAACGAAGACCTAAACGATTTACCCTTACATGGTTCCTGTATCCAAGGTCCCAGAAAGGTAGAAGGGGGAAATGTCACAATAATATTCAAAATATCTGAAAGCAAACTGCTATTGTTTTAGTTTGAAAATAGAGCTTGATAGAATTTGACATTGTATTTCCCTAAAATATTAAACTTGTATACTCTCAACAGTTATATTATAAATATTTATTCAGGTATGGTCAAAATTTATCCATATTAATGATAATTATTTAAATGCTCTTTAGCTGTTCATCACCATATTAATACTAGGAATAATGACGGCTAATTTTAATTGAGTACTTCCTAACTGTGGCCCAGTTACAGTAAAATAAACACTATTAGATACACTCCATCGATTATTACAGCAAGTCTATGAAACATACTGTATTACACAGCCAGTATTAGAAATGAAAAACTCATGGGAAGGATATGTATAAAACTTGCTCAAAGTTACCCAGCTAATAAGTGGCTAGGACACAATTAAACACCTATGCAGTTTTCTTTCCTGAGCTGAAATCCTAAATCCTTGGCTGTATGGCCCCTCATTCAAAAGTCCTAAACTGGCTAAAATTTATATAACAGAAAATTCACAGAATCATTTCCTTCTACTTTCCACTACCAGGGCTGTTAACAGTCCCAAGCAAAAGGGCAAAATTTTTTTCTACTTGAGATAAGAAAAATATAGAGTGTGACAGAAGGTATTCTACCAATATAAAAACACTTTACCAGGAAAACTGAGAAGGGGGCTGTTAACCTTCCGGGAAATGTAGGTCTTCAGTGGATTCCTGTTAGAGACATAAAAACGTAGAGAGAAGACTTTCAGTTAAAAGCCTCCTCCCTTCAGCAAAGTATATTCTGATTCCATTATCGTGTTAGGCTCCTATATAGTTATAAGTAATCCCATGCGGTTTTAGAATTCTTAAATATTCACACACATAGTCATCTGAAAATGAATAAATCCATGAATGACTAAACAAAATTTATTCCTATATCATTTTCAATATCCTTAAATTATGCTTACATCCTTAAATCGGTTGCCTCATTCTGAAAGCACATAGTCTGTAACTCATAAAAAACACCTGTCGGCCGGGCACGGTGGCTCACGCCTGTAATCCCAGCACTTTGGGAGGCCGAGGTGGGCGTATCACCTAAGGTCGGGAGTTTGAGACCAGCCTGACCACCATGGAGAAACCCCGTCTCTAATAAAAACAGAAAAAATTAGCCGGGCGCGGGGGTGCATGCCTGTAATCCCAGCTACTTGGGAGGCTGAGGTAGGAGAATCACTTGAACTTGGGAGGCGGAGGTTGCGGTGAGCCAAGATCGTGCCAGCCTGGGCAACAATAGCAAAACTCCGTATCACAAAAAAAAAAAAAACAAAAAAAAAAACCCACTAAATAATTCATTTAGTATGGGAGAGTGTGAGGAAGCAGAAAATTTAAAAAAAAAAATAGACCAGCAATAATGTCACTTTTTCATGAATTTGTTAGTTCTTTCTGAGCTCCACTTACAGTTACTTTCCCATTCTTCCCTGCACACCGTCAACACATAAGGACTCAAATTAAGATGATGTATATGTTTACACTCCAAAATTTTTTTTTTTTTTTTTTGTGAGCATGGGGCCGTATTTTAATACAAGAAAGACATTGCTCTAGAACATGGCTCGCCTTTGCTTCAGGGCCTAGCAGTTTATTTTAGCCATAAGGGTAAGGGAGCAGGTCAGAAATGACTTTTAGTGTAATCCTATCTGTAATTAAAAATACAAATGCTGTCATAAGATCAAATGTTATCAAAAATCAGTATTTAAAATTAAATTTACCCCCAAATTTCTTTCAAAAAAAATTTGTAATGTTCTTTTTCAGTGAAGCCTTTGCACTGCTAGAGCTGAAGAATGTGATCAATCGGCTTGTTGAATAATCCCGCACAGTAGGTATTCCGCTGAAGCCAACTCTAGCTGGGGGCTCGAGAGCGAAAGACACAGATGGGGCCCTGCCGCCCCTCGAAGAGTCGGATGGGGGCGCCCGTCCCCGGTGCATCAAGAGGCTGGCCCCGCCAGGGGCGAGCGGCTGGCACCGAACCCCGCGCACCTCGCCGCGGGCGGGGCTGGGCCGTAGTCGGCTCGATTTAAGGCTGGTATCCAAGGCTGCGGCCGGTCAGGCGAGGCGAGGCGAGGCGACGTGAGCGAGGGTGCTTAGGGAGAACAGCCGCTGGCAGCTCAATGCTGGGTGGCTAACGCTCGACGGTGCCCGGCAGCAACCCGGCCGACACCCCGACCCGGATCCCGAGCTGCGTCGCGGACAATGCCGCGGGCCCGTCCCGGACTACGACTCCCGACGGGCTCTGCGACCGCTCCGGGGCGGCCCAGCGTGCACTGCGCCGGCCAGTTTGACAGCCGGGCGCCCTACTCGGCTAGCTCTGCTCCCAGCCAGGGACGCTGGCCTTCTCGCGGCTTTCCCCCGATGTCTCTCTTTATTCCAGCTGCCTGAAACTCGGTCCCACGAATGGCAGGCAGCGTCCAAAATTCAACCCCGTAAAGCCAGCACCAGCCAATAAAGCGCACGGATGGAGGCCACGTGACAGCAGTGGGCCGGCCCTCCGGCTGAGCCCTGATCTCTATGGTTTCCGCGGCTCGCTAGAAGGAGTGCGGTCCACTGGAGGTCTCCCTACATTCTTCCTCCATTATCTCACTGCCTCCGGTGGCTGCTGGGATACCGGAGGACTCGGGTCCCGGCTCGACTCAGTCCTCCAGCCGCCCGGGGAATACCTCTAGTTCTTCCCGGCCGCCGCCGCCTCCGCCCCGCCGCTTCCTCCTCCGCCTGCCGGCCTCCTTCGCCCCGCCCCGTCCGCGCAGCTCGTCCGGCCCGCCCGCAGGCCAGCTTCTCTCGGGAGCCTCCACCCAGGCGCATGGCTCCATGAAGCAAGAGGAGGAGGCAGAGCGCGAGAGATCCCGTCCGCCCCAGCCGCGTCTGGGCCAGGAGAAAAGGTGGGAAACTCGGGCTGCGCCGCACCCTTCTCCCCGCTGCCGGGCCAGGCCTCCCTCGGTCCGCCGCCGCCTTGCCCGCCGGGCCTGTTCTCGCCGGGGCGGGCGGCGGGGCCGGGAAGAGACCCCGCGGTCCTGGGGCGAGGGTCCGGGGGCAGCGTGGGGGAGGGGTCCCGGGCGGCGGGCGGGGCCTCAGGCCATGTCCCAGCGGAGGGCAGGGGGTCGGGAGGCACTGCCGGGGAGGGGCGGGCGGCGCCGTGCCCCGGGCCGCGAGGCTCGGCTCCCGCTCCTGGTCCTTGTCTGCACTCCCTCCAGGAAGCAGGCTCGCTCGCTGTAATGTTTGGTGGTCTCCGGCGCCGCCTGGTGGCCCCCACCCACCGTCCCGCCGCCCCGCCGCCCCCTCCCCCGCCCGGCGTCTGGATTCCACCCCCGCGGCTCGGCCCAAGCTGCTCTACCCGTCGCTCCATCGTCTCCCCAAATCCCCAGCGCCCCGGACCCTCTTTCCTCATACCCTCCTTTCTCACCTTTCACCCTGTCCCTCGGCCCGCTTTTCCCCTCCCCGCTCTGTCCTGTCGTTTTCTTAACACTCTTCACACGCGCACTTCCTCCTCCTCCTCTTCTCTTTTTCCCACCCCTACCTTTGGGCCCTCCTTCCTTAACCTCCGCTGGCCCCCCATTCCATGATCCGTCCACCTGACACGCTGGGTTTCATGCCTCTCTTTCCCAGGCTGTGGGTTGTGCCCTTCACTCCTTGCCCTCCTCCATTCCCTGTCCTGATCTGAACTCCTCTCCTTGCCACGCTCCCTCACCCTTATCCCTCTGCACACTCCAAAATTTTTAAAGAAAAAGGAGAGAGAGAAAAAAAAGTAAAAGAAACCCAAAAGGGAAAATATAGCTAAGGTGAACTGGTGAGTTTCTACTCAGAATTCTTATTATTGAGTATGATGTATTTTGTTTTCTTAACTTATGTATAATGAAAATGGACGAGAAGAATTATAAATCATAGTTCATTTTTATGATTAGTACATAAAAAAAATTTGAGTCTTTCTTGGCATCCATTACTTTATCTTAAAAACACAGAGTATTTACTTTTTGTGTGGCAAAGGAGGCCTAATGGGGAACCTTGACCTTCATCTCAACTTGACAGTAAAAAGGTGCTCCTTCCTTCCCCTTTTGCTTGCCATGTGTCTGAAAAAGACTAGTAGCAAGAATATATAAAGAACTTTCAAAACTTAAGAGTGAACAAAGTCAAATTAGAAAGTGGGCAAAAGACATGAATATACATTTCACTGAAAAGAATATATGTTTGGAAAATCAGAGCATGAAAAGACGTCAACATCATTAGCCATTAGGGAATGAAAAATTAAAACCCCAATGGGATTTCAATATATACCCAATGGAATAGTTACAATAAAAAATAATGACAACACTGAGTGCTAGCAAGGCTGCAAAGAAACTACTTAACTGCTGCACGGTTGATGGGAATGTAAAATAACAAAGCCATTCTCTAACAATTTGATACTTTCTTTAAAAAGCAAACAAACAGTTTAACAGGCAATGACTTTATGACTCAGTGATTTCACTCCTGATGACATAGTTGGTCATCAGAAAAAATGAAAATAAAAACCTCAGTGAGATGTCATTACATATCCAAGAGAACTGGTAAAATTAAAATGGCTAAATACCTGGAGACCGATATGGGAGGATAGCTCGAGCCCAGGAGTCCAAGGCTGCAGTGAGCTATGATTGTGCCACTCTACTCCAGCCTGTGTGATAGAGCAAGACTCCATCTCTTAAGAAAGAAAATTGGGGACTGAATATAGCAAGTGTTGAAGAGGTTATGAAGCAAAGAAAATCTCATACATTTGTGGTGGGAGAGTAAATTTACAGCTATATTTTAAAGAAGTTTGGCAATTTCTTATAAAGTTAACCTGCACACATACCCAGTGACATCGTGATTCAATTTATAGGTATGTACCAAAAATAAATGAGGGTGTGTATTCACACAATAGAGACCGATATAAAATTATTCACAGCAGGTTTTTTTTGTAGGCAAAAACTGGATGTAACATCTATAAAGTGGAGAAGAGATAAATTATGATATTGACTTACAGAGTAATAATACATAGCAATACAAAATAAAATATTGACACATAAAACAGCATAGATAAATCTCCAAAATATCATGTTGAGTAAAATAGGTCAGACACAAAAGCATAAAATCTATATGATTCCAGACAAATTTGACCAGTGGTTATCGACTGGAATAAAGCAGCACAACATTTTCTGTGGTAGTGAAACTTCTTTATCTTGATATGGCTGGTGTGAATATGAGTGCAGAAATACATAAAGTTAAGGTACACATCTTAAATTTGTTCATTTTATGAAATATAAATTTAGCCTTGGTAATGCACCTCCAAAATTTTTTATTAAGGCTATAATTAAATTTATATTTATAAAAATGAGTGATGTATCACATTATATTAGAGTATTTTTCTAATAGAAGACCTTATGGCTTAAAATTAAGTATTCTGTTTAATACTTATCATAAATTTATAATTTAATAAGTGATTTATAACTGCACAATAACATTACAACAATTTTATGTTTAGGTAAAATTGTCTTTATTTTAAATTTAAGTAGTACAGCAACTTTACATGGCTTACCTAAACCACACAATTATTAAGTGATATAATTGGGACTCTAATCCAGGGCTGTTTCTAAGTAATATGTTCATTTTTCTTCACATTGATAACTTGAATACATCTTTTGAAAAAAATTTTATTAATTTTTTTAATTTAATTAAGATACTTTCAACTTATTGAAGATTATGTGGTTCTTATAACACTAGATGGGTTAAAGTCATACTTTTGACTTCTATTACTTATGTGATTTTATGTGATCTTGGCCATTCAGCCTTTTTTTGGTAAAAAGGGAATGATAATATCTCTCAAGAGTATTGCAAGATTTAAATGAAATTAAATGCGTTGAAAGCTTCTGTAAGAAACGTACAGAGTGCATAGAAGAATCTCAATTTTTATAAGTTTCTCAATTTTCCCTTTACATTTTCATTCTTATTGTCATCTGTCTCTCACTGATGCTGCTGCTTCTCATGTCTCCCCCTAAGTGCAGACTAGTTCTCACCCTCAGCGCTCTAACCACTGCCTCTAGAAGTAAAATAAGTGTCCTCTTGCAGAATACTTCTACTTCCTTCTCCTCAAACCCCTCCAGCTTGGAATCTCATACCATTTGATTATATTGATCACTCTCCCAATGTTTAGTCACTTTCCCTCATTCTTTGAAGTCTTTACAACCTGACTTACTGCCATTATTTTGATGTCTCATTTAAATTACTTATCTTCTTTGACATTTGACCTCGTCATTTCCAATGTACTTGCTATCTTCAGTATCTAGCTATTCAATCTCATGATCTCAGCTCAAACCACGTTATTACTCCTAATTGCAAATTTTTACAATCTAACTTTTAAGTCTCCTGCCTTCTGAACATTAACTTCTATCTTTCTAGTTCATTCCATTTACTACAACTTCAAAAATACTGTGACTCATCCTGGATCTACACTCTCATACAATATACAATACAGTCCTTATACAATTCTCAATCCAGTTTTCTCCACACATCCTTTACTTCTCAGCAAACCCACCTTCAAAACATTTAAATAATTTTTACTACTGCTGTTATCCACCCAGGCCAAGCCAAAATCATGTCTCATCTGAATTTTTATCCCCCTTCCTGCTTCTGCATTAGCCCTCACCTTCAGTCTTTTCTCAATACCCAAGCAAGAATATAACATAGTATCATGGAGATCATGCCACTCTGCTCACTCACTTTTAAGGACTTCTAATTCCACTCTGAGTCATTATTGTACAGATTATATAGCTCTACTCATGCTCCCCACCAGGCACACCTCTTTGATCACAGCCCTGTTGCTCTTCCCCTCATGCCTCTGTTCCAGGTTTGCTGTACCCAACACTTCCTGGTGCTATTTGGGCAGGCTGGGAATTGTCTCTGTGTTAGCCCATTCGAGCAGCTATAACAAAATACCATAGACTAAGTAGCTTATAAATGACAGAAATTTATTTTTCACAGTTCTGGAAGCTAAGTCCCAGATCAAAGTGCTCACATATTCCATATATGATGAGGCCCTATTTCCTAGTTCATAGACCCATCTTCTTCTTCACATGGTGGAGTCGTCATATGGTGGAAGGGACAAACCAGCCCCCTCAGGCATCCTTTATAAAGGCACCAATCTCCTTCATGAAGGCTCTGTATTCATGACATAATCACCTTCCAAAGACCTTAACTTTTAATAGTATCATACTGTGAATTACATTTCAACAGTAATGGGGGGGGGGGTTGTCAACATTCAGACCATAGCACTCTCATATTAGATACTTTGTACATGGTTTCTCTGACTGAAAACACCTGTCTTCAAATTCCTCCCTGAATTGTTTCCTTATCTCCTGGATTAGTTCCTTCTCATGCTGTTAATAAAAATATATCCTAGACTGGGTAATTTATAAAGGAAAGAGATTTAATTGAGTCACAGTTCTGCACAGCTGGTGAGACCTCAGGAAACTTACAACCATGGTGGAAGGGGAAGCAACACATCCTTCTTCACGTGGTGGCAGCAAGGAGAAGTGCCAAGCAAAATGGGGGAAAAAACCCTGATAAAACCCTCAGAGAACATGAGAATTCATTCATATCACAAGAACAGCAGCGTGGGGGTAACTGCCCCCATGATTCAATTGTCTCCCACCAGGTCCCTCCCATGATATGTGGGGATTATGGGAACTACCATTCAAGCTTTAGATTTAGTGGGGGACCCAGTCAAACCATATCACCTTCTTCAAGTCTTTCACTCAAATGCTACTGTCTCCGTCATGCCTTCCTTATTTCCCTACTTAAAATTATATCTCCTCCTCATGTTCTTTATTTGCTTTGTCTGCTTTACTTTCCTCCATAGCACTTAGCAACACTTAACATATTATATAGTTTAATTATTTATGTTGTTACACATCTCCTTCCAAGAGAATGTAAGCTCCAAAAAGGCATATTTTTCTTTATTTTCTTTTTTTCACTGCTATATCCGCAGTGTCTACAATAGAATGTGGTACAAGGTAGGAGCTTAATGTGAATGAATGAATGTTAGTCGTATTACCTTTTAAATTTACCTTATTTTCTAATTTTCTACATTTTCCACATTCCTTCATCCTTTCCACCTTCCTACATCCTGTGGGATGTGCATACAGAAAGTAGCAACATTAAGGTAAAAAGTTTAACCTTTGGATTAATATTTAAATCTTGAGACTGTTTTGCTCTTCTGTTGCCTTTAGCAAAACCATATTCCTGCTGCTGTCAGTTTTGATGCACTGAGAAAACTTCAGAGACCTAAGCTTTTTCCAGAGAAGAGAAGCTTTACTGGTGTTCCAGCCCTAAGGTGAGACCAGCTTATGCATCCTGGTTTATATTTTATTTTGTCGCCTTTATTCTCTTTCTCTTTATTTTTCTTTTCTTCTTTCTTACATTGTATTTCTGTTTGGAAAAGACCATGTACAAACAGAGTAATATGTGGATCCATGCCTATCCATCTTAGTATAATCATGTATTCATTGTACTTTGTTGTATACATTTGGTACGTATTCTAAATATGGACATATGCTATGTATCATAATGTACATAACCATTTCTCTATTGATAGACTGTTACAGTATTTTCAATTTCTGATAACAGCAAAAATGATCCTTCAGTTGCTATCATCAATATTTATTTGTACATATCAATGATCATTTTAGAGGATTAAAAACAGAAGAAGAATTTTTAGGGAAACCATGTATAGTTAAAATGTGTATATACTTTTCACATTTTCATAGATAAAGAGCATCCCCATTTTTTTCCCCACTAACAACAAGACAAGATGGCTGGAGAAAAATAAGTCACCAAATATCATAAAGATACTTGCATGTTTTATAAGTAATTAATAACTACTTTCTCATAACAGTAAAAACTATTTTGTTTTGTATGAGAGGATTTTTCTCTCTAAGTTTTAAAAAATCATTACATGCAAATATATCACATCAAACCCAAAAGCCATTGCTAGCACACTGGTTCCTGTCTTAATATTAAGTATGAGATAAAAGGCCTTTATCTTCCAGAAGGTTGTTCATAACATGCCAAATATATGAACACCCAATAGTCAAAGGACATTATCTCTATGATGTAATTTTGAAAGTTATTAAAATAATTGTTTATCAATTTCATCTTACAAGCACACAATTTAAACCATTCTTTTAAAGTGGATTTTAGAAGATTGGAATAGGAAGTTATAGAAGTCAATCCCTCCACAAAAACTGCCATTAAACTGGAAAAAATAAGAATTAACCTTTTTGGAACTCTGGATCCTAATCAGATAAATAACAACCATTAGTAGACTGCTTGATGCTGTTGGCCTTTAGTAAGAAAATGGCTGTATGCACACACCAGATACCATCACTCATTCTTATTCACAAGAGTCAAAAAGTGAAAACAAACCTGTATGTGTAGATAAACAAAATGTGGCATGTACATACAAGGGAAGATTATTTAGCCATAAAAAGGGAATGATGTTCTGATACATGTTTACAACATGGGTAAACCTTGAAAATATTATGCTAAATAAAATAAGCCAGACACAAAAGGACAAACAGTATATGATTCTACTTATATGAAAGATCATGAATAGTCAAATTCATGCAGTGGGAATGCAGATTGCATGTTTCCAGGGCATGGAGGCTGGGGCAAGGGGAATGGAGAATTAGTGCTTAATGGTACAGAACTTCTGTTTGATGTGATAGAAAAGTTATGAAAACAGTGTTAATTATACAACATTGTGAATGTATTCAATATCACTGAGTTTTAGAATTGAAAATGATTAAATGGTACCTTTTATGTTATGTATATTTACCACTGGGCAATAAAATTGTATTAGTGTAGGCGAGGCAATTTTAACAGTCGTACCACTCTGGAGGAAGATATTGATAATGAAGGAGGCCATGCATGTGGAGGCAGGATATGTTACATATATAATATAATATATAACATATATTATATATACACATTATGTCAGGGGTTGTGTGTGTGTGTGTGTGTGTATATATATATATATATTATGTCAGGGTGTGTGTGTGTGTGTGTGTGTGTGTGTATATATATAATATACCCTGCCTCCACATGCTTGTTATATATATATATATATATATATATATAGTAATATATGGTATATTACCATATATAATATATATTACTACATATATATGGTAAATCTCTATGTCTTCCTCTTAATTTTTCTGTGAAACTGAAACTGCCCTAAAAAATTCAAGTCCTACAAAAATGAAAATGAGTTAAAGTACTTTTTTTTTTTTTTTTTGAACAGTCTCGCTCTGTCGCTCAGGCTGGAGTGCAATGGCGCGATCTCGGCTCACTGCAAGCTCCGCCTCCTGGGTTCACTCCATTCTCCTGCCTCAGCCTCCGGAGTAGCTGGGACTACAGGCACCCGCCACCGCGCCCAGCTAATTTTTTTTTTTTTTAGTAGAGACGCGGTTTCACCGTGTTAGCCAGGATGGTCTCGATCTCCTGACCTCGTGATCCGCTCGTCTCGGCTTCCCAAAGTGCTGAGATTACAGGCTTGCAGGCGTGAGCCACCGCGCCCGGCCGAGTTAAAGTACTTTTTCTGGAACAAAGAAACTTAGCATAAATAGTTAAAATATTAAGAGTTGTAATTAAGGGAAATTTCAGCTCAATATGACTTCAACAGTTTAAAAAATGTATTATTTCACATAAGACCATGGAGAGAGGAATTGGAAGCCCCAGAATTGATTGGGTCAGAAATTGAAAATGATACTATCAGTGACCCAGGTTTGAATGTCTCTCTCCACAGCATTGACTTCACTAATGGATGTGACCTGGTTGGCAGCAGTAGCTTGCACAACATGCTTGTTTGCAGTGAGTAGTAGAGAGAAGGTTTTGCTTTCCCAGAAACTCTGAAAAAGGTCATCAAACCTAAATTTCCTTAGCCTTCTTCTTCCATGAGCAAATCACTAGCAGATGATTGCTAGCAAGGTGTTACTATTACAATGAACCCCTAAGTGTCAGAGAAAGAGTTAGTTTGGGGAAATATCCTCTCCACCACAATCTTAGTCATTGAAGTCAATTTAACAATATATTGAAATATTTTTCTTAGAAGTTTAAAGTTCCATTAAAGAGTAACAATTACAGAAATTATAGGTAGCCTTTAGTTCTACAAGTGACATCTCAAAAGGGAGATGATTCATCAATTTCAAACTTTCCCTGCAAGTAATACTGGATGAAAATTAACTTGGCCAACATAATTAATAATCATGGGTTATTAATTACTTCTGCAAGGTGGGTGTGCTGATTTTAAAAGGCTTGAATAAAACATAAATTTCCTTAATTTGATACTGTAAATGGAGTAATTTGGTGATGTAAATGGTAATATGTAAGGGATTTTTGCTTCAGATCTTACAACTTAAAATATTTTTCTAAAATTAGTTTTTGTACCATCTCTCCAGCATGTTCCAGCCTTTATCAGTCAGTCCAGGCTTCTATAACAAAATATCATGGACTGAATTGCTTACACAACAGACATTTCTCACAATTGTAGAAGCTGGAAAGTGCAAGATTAAGGTGCTAGCAAATTTGTTTCCTGGTGAGGGTCCTCTTCCGGGCTTGCTGTATCCTCACATAGCAGATAGAGAGAGAAAGAGAGAGAGAGAGAGCACTCTATAGACTCTCTTCCTGTTCTTATAAGGACACTAATTCCGTTGATGAGGGCCCTATGCTCATGACTTTGTCTAAACCTAATTAATTCTCAAAGGCCTCACTTCCCAATACTGTCACATTGTGGGGTAGGGCTTTAACATATGAAATTTGAGGGAAAAGGAATGTTCAGTCTAGAACAAAGCCCCATACATTTCAAAAAGCTGTGGGACAGGAGGGAATGGGGATGGTATTCAATGGTACCACATCCAAGCAAGTCTTGTATGGTTAAAACAAATCAATATAATAACATGAAATTTTACACAGAAACCTATCTGATTATAAACTGTATGCTTACCATAATCAACACTGATGTACATTGTTTTAAAAATACTTAATAGTGTTCTTTGTTTAACCAAACAATAGAGGTATTAACTAGTTTCCTAGTGCTGCCAAAAGAAATTGCTACAAAATTTGTGGCTTAAAATAGTAAAAAAAGAAAAAAAATTCTCAATTATAGAGGCCAGAAGACCAAAATCAAGGTGGAGGCAGAGCCATACACCCTCTGACGGCTCTAGGGAAGAATCCTTCCTTGCCTCTTCTAGATTCTGTTGGCTCCTGGCACTCCTTGGCTTGTGACAGCATAACTCCAACCTTAGTCTCTATCTTCACATGACCTTGCTTGTGTTTCTGTGTCCCAAATACCCATGACTCACTCTAAATTCAGGATGATCTCACCCTGAGATCTTTATTATATCTGTAAAGCTCCTATTTCAAAATAAGGTGATATTTACAGGTACTGGAATGGGAGAGGGTCTAGGACTCAGACGCACCCTTATGAGGATACTACATGACCCATTACAAGGCACAAAGTAATTACCATAGGCAAACCGCTGATGAGAGCTCACTCCAGTTTGGAATATATTCATGTTTCCATATAAGAGAAAAATTCATCCCTGGTTCAGTTCATCTTGGCATCAGTACACGGATGGGATTCAGAGACATGTAGGTGTGGAATACCAGATTCCACCAAACTTAAAAAGCTGGCATACTAAGTTGATAAAACGATGTAGAGTGTGAAGTTGAGTTGAGAATGCTTATGCCATACAGTTTATGTATCTTATAATAGCCTTAATCACACTTCCAGTAATTTTCCCTATCATTGGGTGCTAAAAAATAAAATTAAAGAATTAGAATAAAAAATATATATATACCTCTTTGAGTGGAAGAATGCTGTCAGCACATTTTGTTATTTTATTCCATTGTATAAAGTCTCGGTAGTGCTCTCTTCATAAATGTGTTGAAGGTTTGGCTAAATTGTATCAAATTTGTGATTAAATACAAATGTGAATAGTATAAAACATTACAAAGGACAATCTGAATACTATGCTATACCAATTTTACAATTTTACAATGACTTACAGATGCCATAAATATTTACTTTAAGGGAGTAAAATAAGTTATAAAGTCATATTTAAGAACACCTAAATCCTTGAATAAATTTAAAATGGTATTATTATTTACGTATGAAGTCAGCTGACTATTGAAAGCTTATTTTTCAATAACAGAAATATATGCATTATCTAAAACACATATTCCAATATTTTCAAGAAACAAAATACTGAATTAAATTATCTGTATTTAAATGTTTATTTTGGTTATAAAGGTCCATGAAAATGCTTAAAATTGGTTTATTTGATCTAAAAAGTTAATAGCAATTTTTATTTTTAATGTATCATTTTTCCCATTTATTGTTTTCTAAATAACACTTTCATCCTAAGTAGATGACTGAAGAAACAAAATGCTGTTTTCTTTACGAACTCGTAATACATTTCAATAATAATTAGGATGCTGTTCAAGGTGTTGAAGTGTACAATATAACAAATTGCATTTGCAGTTGAATAGTAGCAGAGTAGAAGCTGAAAAAATAAATCATGTATAAAAGTAGCTTAAAACAGATGATAGCAGAGCAAAGAGTTTCCTGCCAACGCCCTCTAAAAATCGGTCCTTTTAGGCTTTTGTGCTGGTATTAGGTTTCAGTTATAGACAAGACATATATATATGTGACCTTTTCCTTTCCTTTTCTATACCCTGGGGTCAAAGTCTCCTATAAAAGGACATTTGCACCAAGTATTTTCAGCTGGAGTAGGAGGAAAGGGCAGGAGTAGGAGAGCAGTATGATCACCTCTTGCCAATGCAATTTCACTTGATTTGCAACTGGTGTTTAGTAAAGAATTTTGCTATGCAAAAATAGTGTCTTAATTGGATTATTGTAAGACAAAGTATGCATTTTTAATGTCGTATTAGTATTTTATTAATAAGGCTAGGGAAACCCACTAAATCCCTATACTAAAGTGAATTTGATTCTCCCATAGAAACTTAAATCCTCAGTGTGACACAACTCAGTCCTTCTACTGCAGCAGCTCTTTTATAAAAGCCTCCCAAAGCTCCAAGAAGGAACAAAGAATGTGACCCAGTAAGCTCACACCATAAGTCTATATTGCAGAAACCTTTGTTCAACAAAACTGCAGATGCTCTGTTGAATCCACTGGAGATTGTCCTGATACTAAGGACAAGTATGTAAGTTAATGATTTTATTAATTTTAACATTTTAAAATGTTTTCCTTTGGGGAATTCTAATTTATATATCAATATTCAGGTAATATTTGCTGAAAACACAAACAGTCAAAATGATCTGCATTCACATTCTCATTTTCTATTATAACATAGAGACAACTACTTTATTATCTTTTTAGAAACTTTTGCAACTACTTTAGTTTCTTCCTAATTTTATAAATTAATCTATCTCAAAAAACTTGGCCCAAAAGAGTTAGTAATAGCTGTCAACTTCAGAAAAACTAAAACTTTAAAGATGACTTTTAGAAGGAAAATGAAATACAGAAATAATGTATCTCATTTGCACTTAATTAAAAATAATATGAATTGTCACTATTTCCTATGAAAACATCTCATGCCAATTTCTTTTATTAAGCTTGGATTTAAAAGATAATTTAGTTGAAACTGGTAGAATCTTAGTAAAATTATAACAATAAGAAATTTTTATATTATACATATAATATAGAATAATCATATTTAATTCCACTTGTTAGTTTATTCTGATTCTTTAGCAGGTTGATTCATAATTTGCCAACTTGGGTCAGAAATATTTTCTATTCTTAGCTTTTGCTGTCAGCAGAGATAATAATAATACAGAACCTGAACAACAAAGGATTATGTATTGTTTCAATTTAATTAAAGTTGATTCCCTGCTTTAAGAGAGACTCACATTTTATATTTTATTTTTTTTATTAAAAAGAGAATGTAGATATTTGCTTTTCCAAATTTCCCATAAGATAAGAAAAACATATTTTTTCTTAATTACACCCTTGCTAAGTCATGCTAGCTGCCTGACCTTGGACAAAATTCTTAACCTCTTTGTGTCTCATTTTCAATAACTGTGAATTAAAGATGATTATTGTAGTATATTTCTCAAGGGATTATTGTGGGAACTAAATAAAATAATCCTCTAAAATGCTTAGTACAGATTCTGGAACATCATAAGCAGAAAAAATTAATAACTATTTTTTTAACTATATTATATGACATACTTTTTCTTTATGATCTTCAGGGGAATTTCTACTTATCTTAAAAACATATATAGATATTGATCTGCGGAGAAATATATCTCTGTTATTTCAAGGTCTGTGGATTACATAATGATCAACTCTGATTGATTTACTGTTTGATTAAACAAAATTTTAAAGCAAAACTAAAAATATTGCAGCTATGTTGGTTTTAACCATTCTAAACTCTGATGAAATTTGCTTTCTGTTTGGTTTGTGACTAGGAAGCTAAACATTATTTATTAGTAATAAAAATTTCTGGTGTCTAAAGAAATTCAAGAGGAAAACCATTAGATTCTATTACAATTAAATCTGTTAAGATTTAATTGCAAATATGTAGATAGTGCAAATATATCTTTGGGTACAATTTTTGTTCTCATTAAGTTACCCATTTTACATTTTGAGAACACTAATAGATGAAATACTTGTCAAAGAGAAGATCTAAGATGGTTTAAAGAAAATATTAAATGAAATCAAACTTACTTGTCAAGCTCCATAGCACAACTTACAAGTCATAAATCACACTCTGTGTGACAGCTACGGGAGGGATCTGGGTAGTAAAACAAAATGATGGATTTTATCTTTCCTGTTTTTGAGTTATTAAGAACTAGTTGAACTATAGAATGACGTGAAAGACTCACATCAGGGATGGGAGGTTATTTGCAGAAACTCTTGTTTTCTTTATCACATTGTCAATATTTGACATTTCCATATGACTAATTGTTGAACTAATTTTTGATTTCTTATGCCAACTGTTAATAATCCTCTTTTCATTCAGAAAACAATCACTTTTTGTCTATCTGTAAATTGACATTTGTTATGTTAATTTGTTTTTGCTTATTACAAGGATTACCTTTTATTTACAACAAAGCATTCACAGATTGCCGTGATGGATTTGTCTTCAATCAAATCTCATAAACATTAATTGAATTATTGAAAGGAATTTGTAAATTATTGTGTTTTTTTCTAAAATAGTAACATCAGCGTGTATATTACGTTAATTTTGTTTACGGTTTTTTGCTTCACATTAACTATATTTAACTGACTTTAACAGCCTTAGATAACTCCAAAACATCAATTACTTTACTTGGATTTATTAATTCATTCAAATATATATATATATATAATGAGAATCTATCATTTGCCAGGCACTGGGCTAGGCAAAGGTAAGAGTGAATGGCAAAATCATGTTCTCCCTGTTTTCCTGTAATGTGTTGTCTGGCTAAAGGCTGTGAAGGAAGAGTAATGTGAAGGAAGAGTATTCGAAGGATATAAGAAAAGGGATCACACAATTAACTGTATGTAGGCTGTTCTTAGGGAAGATTTCTTCTGGAGGTGGTACTTGGCCTTCAGTCAGAAGCATGATTTGATATTTGATGTTAACCAGGTAATTGAGGGGATAAGGTGCTTTCTCAGCAGAAAAGACATAGTAGGCAAAGTCTTTAAGATAAAAGCATAGTGAAAGCTCAAAACTAAAAGGAGGCTTGGGTGTCTGGACTCCAGAGACAGGAAGAGTTTAGAGAGTCTAGCAGAGATAGCAGAGAAGACTTTATCTTTTTTTTTCTGTAGCAACCATCTTTCCTGTGAAAAATTCCCTCTCCTAGTACTTTAGTTCTGTGGATCCAAAATTTATAGCATTCTTCTACCACCACAGGGGTGAGTATATAATAAAAAATGTCAGTTATTCAAGTATGTAAGAAACTTGAAAGTCATCACTCCCATCCTTACAACAAGAAAAATGCTGTACAAACAGACTATCAACAACTCATTTTAGATCCATTAGAGGACTGAGGTCACAGAAAAACTGCTGCGCCCACCCTAAATCCCCATTAAATTAGAGAGATGGGAAAATGCAAAGAATTATAGCCTAGTGGAGCAAAAGCCCAGGAGCCCCCACAGGAGTTAGTAATGGAGTAGAAAACTTTAATATGCAGTTGATTAATTTCTGGAAGCACATTGTGGACAAGCTTGAGAATTAACTTTGAAAAATATATAACATGATAATACTAATTAAAAGAAAGCTGGATTAATATATTAATTTCCAACAAAAAGACTTCAGAGAAAGAACAATTATAGGGGGATACAAAGGGGTATTACATAGTAACAAAGGATTTAATTTTCCAAGAAAACGTAACAATCCTTAATGTGTTTGCATGTAACAGGCTGTCAAAACACATGAGGTGAAAACAGATAGAACTGCAGGAACAGACAGATAAATCCACTATGATAATTGGAGGTGTTAACACCTCTCTATCAATAATGAATAGAACCAGCAGGTGGAAAATCAGTAAGGGCATAGTTCAACTGAATAGCACCAAAATCAGTGAGTCCCAGTCTCTCTTCCCGGAAGTTGATTCTTGAGCAGGGACGTCAGGAGTAGAGTGATGTCCAGGCCATATTTAATAACAAATAAATCAGAGTCTGGACATGATATGTAGGCATTCGTTTCTTTAAAAAAAAATTGCCCCAGGTGATTCCATTGTGAATCTAATGTTGAGAAGAAATATGTGCAGTCGTTTTCTTTGAATTCATTCTGCCTGAGATATCTAGAGTTGTTCTGGTTGTTGACATCGTTTTGTTTAGCAATTCATTCATTCAATTTTGTGAATTAACTTTCAAGAAATGCCTTTTCCTTGTTATAAAATTACATTGTTTTATGTTATTATAATTTTTAAATTGTGATAAAAGTTGCTATCTCAATGTTGGTCAAAGGAAACAAAATTTCAGTTGACAGGAGAAATAAGTTTCAGAGATCTATTGTACATTATGTAATAGATCTATAGTGATTGTAGTTGTAGTGACTATGGAAATAGTGACTATAGTTAATAACAATAGCATATAATTTAAAATAACTTAAAAATTATTGAGAGTAGATTTTAACTATTCTACATATTATTTTCTTTGTGATATATGCATCTTCTGTCATCTTCCATGGGAAATTTGACATTGCAACCTCACCTGAGGCCATCACTTTTTCCTTGATGCTACGAACCATCCTGTTATGTGTTTGTACCATATCAGTAGTGAAACTGACAGTGCTCTGATAGGGGTATACTCTTTTATCCCAATCTATATCCCAATACCCAATAGCCCAGTATTCTTAGAATCCAGTTGTATTCATACTCTCCTGGATCATTTCTGTTCCTTTGTAATATAGTCCCTTTCTTCCCTTACAGGCTCATATGACATTAACAGACAAGACACTTTTCAGAAAGACAGGTAAGTCATTTGTTAAAATCTCACTACTGTTGTTTAACAGAAACATATATATGCATGTATATGTGTGTACTGTATGGAAAAAGTGGAATTAGAGTTTATCTAGAAAAGAAAAAATTACCTCATCTAAGTGCAGAAATGAATAATACTTAAACCATACCATACAATTCTCTATCATATTTCCACAGATAAGTCAAAAATTTAAAAAATCTTATTGTTCATGCATAAATGCAGAAAACAATATCTCTAGTATATGTTTGTGTTCTATTGTACTTTCACAGAAGGTGTTTGATACTTAATACTGTGTTTATTAAGAAAAATCTTTGCAATGGTTATGGAATTAAAATTTCATGTAAAAATGATTATGTAGATCAAGAAAAGTTGCAATTTTCTGGATTCCTGATATTTTAAATAAAAGTAGTTTCCAAAGGCGATTTTTTTATTATTTTAATTTTTAATGGAAATTTTCACAATATAACCATCCTATATAATTTTATTTTTCAACTATTATTTTTGTCAACTCATTATTTATTAAGAAACAATGACTTTTAGATACTAATTTATAATTCTTACGTTATAATTAAAAATCAGAGTTCGTTGAATAAAATATCTGATTTATGACTCCCTAAGTCAACATTAAATTACTTTATTGCTATATCATGTTTTCTGATGTTCATAACTCTAGGTTTATATAGTAATTTCACTCCACTTTCTTTTTTTTTTTTTTTGAGACGGAGTCTCCCTCTGTGGCCCAGGCTGGAGTGCAGTGGTGCGATCTCGGGCTCACTGCAAGCTCCGCCTCCTGGGTTCACGCCATTCTCCTGCCTCAGCCTCCTGAGTAGCTGGGACTACAGGCACCCGCCACCGCGCCCGGCTAATTTTTTGTATTTTTAGTAGAGATGGGGTTTCACCGTGTTAGCCAATATGGTCTCGATCTCCTGACCTTGTGATCCGCCCGCCTCGGCCTCCCAAAGTGCTGGGATTACAGGCGTGAGCCACCGCACCCGGCCAATTTCACTCCACTTTCATTGGGGGGAGATTTGCAGTTAATTCCAATTTGAATAATATCTTTGTAACTAAATTTATCACGAAGCTCAACATGACAATTTAGTATAGTTAATCTCCATTTCGTTTTACTTTTGCACAACTTTTCCAGTGAAGTGATCCTCTGAGATTAGGACTAGTTGAAATCGTAGGGCAAATATATAAATTGTTTAGAAGGAAGCCTTAAGATGCTTTAACTCATGCAATGAATTTGAACATAGAAATGAGAGGAAAGCTTGGATAATTTTATAATGAAAGGCTAAGCATGTTTTCCCCTCAAGAGGAAAAATTTAAATTTCAAACTGAATATTACTCAAACATTAATCATTTAACTGTATAGCATGGGACATTTTGGGCATGGCAAATTCTAACGGAGGAGACTGCTAGCAATTCTCAGCCACACAGAAATCTGACTGCTTAATTTTGAAAGCTGCAGAGCTATTAGTAAATTTTTTTATCTTGTTTTTACATGTAACTCAGAAACTACTCTGAAAAACTCTCTTAATGCTTTTTACGGCCGGGTGCGGTGGCTGGAGCCTGTAATCCAAGCACTTTGGGAGGCCGAGGTGGGTGGATCACCTGAGATCTGGAGTTCGAGACCAGCCTGGCCAACAAGGTGAAACCCCACCTCTATTAAAAATACAAAAATTAGCTGGGTGTGGTGGCACACACCTGTACTCCCAGCTACTTGAGAGGTTGAGGCAGGAGAATCGCTTGAACTCGGGAGACGGAGGTTGCAGTGAGCCAATATTGCGCCATTGCACTCCAGCCTGGGCAACAAGAGCGAAATTCCATCTCAAAAAATAAATAAATAAATAAATAAATAAATAAATAAATAAATAAATATTAAAAAAATAGTTTTTACTTTATTTCTCCCAAAATATGTCAAAAATGGGATAATGGCACACTTGCTTTTTCTGTAGTCAAAACCATTTTGTAAAAAAACTTGAAATGTACAGTGTAGAATCCAAGGGCAGAAAATAAAGGCTGAACATAGAACTAAGAACCTGTCCAACATCAAGGCAGTGGCTTTTTATCAATTTCTCTCACTCCAGGGCAACATTTATTTTCTTACTCTTGTACTCTTTGTATCTCCATTGCTTGCCTGTGGATCAATAATATTATTCTTTATAACATTATGGAGGCTATATGGCTTTGTGCATCCAGTATGCATCATTATTATAACCTTCATCTCAATTAGAATTCTCAAGTGAAAGAGGCTTATTGATTTCCAACCAATAAATGGATAACTTCCACCTAAATCAAGCGTTCATTCATTGTCCAATCCACTGGACCAGGTGGGCTTGAATCATACATGGAAGCAAACTTCCTAACATGCTGAATGGGTTGGCTCTCATAGAAGGTATTCTTGAGTGGGCAGGTTTCCTTACAAAACATAGTATACTAAGACTGTGGTATTCAGACAGCTCTTCAATCTTCAAGGGAACTGTGGAAGTAAACCAGGGGTGACATGGATTATCAAATATTGTGGATCAGGTGAGCTCTAGGCTTCTCAATGCAAGGTAATTACCCTGCACTTTCATCTATTTTATAATATTGCCTTTATTTTTTTCCATGAAAGAGTAAGGTTTGGAAAAACAAGAAAAACACGGTTAAAATTATTTCTCTAGTGAATTGGTTGTGTTTATAAATCTTTAGCTTAGCTTGAGTCCCCCTTTGTGAAATGTATAAATCCTTTTGATACATTAACAAACACTTGGAAAATGACTTAACTTATTAAGTTGAATTCTCTAATATAAGGGTTATAAGTGAGGGCTTAATTATTCAGCATTACTGAATTCAATATATCTGCCCTTTCAGTTTGCCTAGGGTGACAAATACATTTCCCATTACAGCTTGCCAATGTAACACAGCCTTATTTCATTTTTGTTGTAAATAGAATCACATTCTAATATGTTTTAGCTGAAAACAGCAAAGTATATATTCAACTACTTCCCAATAGGGAAAATTTTTTAAAAAAGTTATTTCTTTAGCCCAGAGCTTTATTTTCCTTTTACATAACAGAAAAATACTTGGTGTGAAATAAAACCTTCTTACACGTAATGAGACCCCATAGAATTTTAATGAAAGACAATTGAAGACCCATTTTTAAATAAGCCATTGGGAAGAATTAATATAATTAAGAATAGAAAAAAACTAGATAAAGTTACAAGAACAACCTAGGAACATTTCTATATTTCTTCCTCATTTTCTGGAGTTCTAAAAGATGTTGAAACATTTTGACAGCTATAGAAAATGACCTAGGGACAAATATACTCTCTATTCCTGACATAAAATGATATGCTTATTGTGTTTCTCATAAAACTCAGCATAAAACTATATACCTAATAGTTATTTAAAAGGAGTTCCTAAAAATAAATATATTCATTATTAATATGTGACATGACTGAGTTACTTTTGAAAAACTACGAATTATTCAACATACTTTAACATAGGATTTAGTATCAATATGGTATCCATTTCTTGATTCTGTTTTTCATAGTGCACTTAAATATATATGTTAATACTTTTGAATAAGTGCATTATGCTATGAAATGTTTTAATGAGAAAAATGAATCTATACAAAGCAACTTCATTTATATTTTGTTCCTGTCACGTTACATTGCTGATATTTTGTATTATACTAGACATGACTCATTTTTAAATATGTAATTGTATATGAAGTTCTCAGTGTTAATGTCTGGAGGATACGGAATAAAAACAGAAGAAAAGTTAAAAAATTAAAAGTAAACTATATTTTGCATATGAATAAGAATATTACAAATACCATATTTATATACTATGTTTATATATCTTTACACTATGCCAAAAGGTATATATGGCATATATGCATATATACCTTTTTTATGCAGAGAAATAATATCTCTGCATAAGCATAAAATCAAGATACATAATATTTTAAAATGTTTTTCATTGAAGTGTAATTGACATAAACTGAACATATCCAGTGTATTTTTAAAGTTTTGGCATATTGGTACACGAGAAAACACCATGGCAATCAAGATCATGAACATATTCACTTCCCTGAAGTTATTTTGTGTCTTTAGTAATCGCTTCTTCCCCTCTTCCCTACTCAATCTCCATGCAACTACTAATCTATTTCTGATACTACAGAATGGTTTACACTTGGTAGAATTTTATGTAAATGGAGTCACAAAATCTATTCTTTTTTGTCTGTCTTTTGCACTCAACATAACTACTCTGACTTTCGCCTATGTTGATACTGGTAGCAATAGTTCATTCTTTTTTTAATTAATAGATTTTATTTTTAGAACAATTTTACGTTTATAGTAGAAACTAACAAAGCAGAGAGAATTTCCATACACTTTCTTCTACTCTCCATATTCTTTATGATTAATATCTTGGATTAGTGTGGTACATTCGTTATAATTGATGCATCAATATTGACATATTATAAATGAAAGTCCATACATTAGTTTTATATTAGGGTTCACTCTTGACATTATACATTTCATGCGTTTGGACAAATGCATATGTCATGTAACCACTACTACAATATTATAAGAATAGTTTTACTTTCTTAAAAATTTCTGTGCTTGATTTATTCATCCCTTCCCTTGGAGACTACTGGAAATTCTGATCTTTTTACAGTTTTCCCCTTTTTAAGAATGTTGTATCATTGGAATTATACAGTGTACAGCCTTTTCAGATTAGCTTCTTTCACTAAGTTGTATGCATTTTAGGTTCTTGCATGTTTTGTATGGTTTGATAGCTTATTTTTAAATCACTGAATATCCCATTTTATAGGTATGCCAGTTTATTGAACCATTACTCACCTGTTGGGGGCATCTGGTAGCTACCAAGTTTTGTTATGAGAAAAGCTATTTTAAGGAGTCATGTGACTCATTTGGATAGGAGTGAAGTTTTTTTGACTCATTTGGATAGGAGTGAAGTTACTAGTCCATGTGGTAAGACTACATTTAACTTTGTAAGAAACTGCAAAGCTATCTTCTAACGTGGCTGTGCCATTTTGCATTCCCACAAGCAATAAATGAGAGTTTCCCTTGCTCTTTATCTTCAACACAATTTAGTGTTTTCAGTGTTCTGGATTTTAGCCATTTTAGTAGGCATGCGGTGGTATCTCGTTCGAATGAGCGATTCTCTAATAATACATGATGTTGAGCATACTTCATTCGCTTATTTGCCATCAATATATTTTCCTCGGTGAAATGTCTGTTCAGATCTCCTGTCCATTTTTTAACTGGATTATTTATCTTTTTTTTTTCTTTTTGAGTTTTAAGAGTTCTGTGGAGTGCTCATACCAGTTCTTTATTGGATACATGTTTTGTAAATATTGTCTCCCAGTCTTGGCTTGTTTTTTAAATATTAACTATGACTTTCTTAGAGCAGAAGTTTTAATTTTTATTAAATTCAACTTATAACATTCTTCTATAGTCTCACATTTTTATGTTTAAATCTATTATCCATTCTTGTACATTGTGTAAACACAGTGTCTAGATTCTTTTTTTTTGGATGTGGATGTCCAATTGTTCCAGTACCGTTTGTTGAAAATATGGTTGTGTGTGTGTGTGTGTGTGTGTGTGTGTGTGTGTGTGTGTGTGTGGTTATATCTCACGTTATGAGTATACCGTGTTTGGTTTATTTATTCACCCATTGATAAACTTTGGGTTGTTTACAGTTTAGTGTTATTATAAATAAGTTTGTCATGGCCACTTGCAAACACATTCTTGTATGTATATATGCTATACTGTTTTCTGCTTAAAGAGCAACAGTAGAATAAGTAGGTAAAATGATGGGGGTCTATTTAACTTTGTAAGAAACAGTCCATTTTTTTTTTCCCAGAGTGGCTGTATCATTTTACTTTCCTACCATCAGTATTTGAGAATTACAGTTGTTCTAAATCATCACCAACACAAAAGATGATGAGTATTTTTAATTGTATTTATTCTAGTAGGTGTGGAATGGCATCTCATTTAATTTGTATTTCTCTAATGGCTAAAGATATTGAACATCTTTCGATGTGATTATTTGCTGTCTCTGAATTTCCTCTGGCAAAGTATATGTAGGTGTGGAATGGCATCTCATTTAATTTGTATTTCTCTAATGGCTAAAGATATTGAACATCTTTTGATGTGATTATTTGCTGTCTCTGAATTTCCTCTGGCAAAGTATGTGTTCAAGTATATTCTTTTCCTTATTGTTTATTGTTGGTCTGTAATTTTCCTTATAATTGAGTTTACATATTTTGGATACACATTCTTTATCAGATATAATTTGGAAATGTCTATTCCTAGTTTGAGGCATATAGGGTAGAAATATAGAATTTTTTGTTTTTATGAAGTCATATTTATTGTTGTTGTAACTGGTTTTTTTGTTTGTTCTCTAGGTTGTTCTTTTGGGCCACATCTAAGAAATCTTTGTCTAGCCAAAAGCCACAAATAATTTCTCATTTTTTGGCTTCTGGAAGATGTACAGTTAAATGTTATATTTGGGACTGTTATCTAATTTGATTAAATTGCACTCTACAATATGATATTTGAATTGATGAAAAATTAGTAAATGTTAATATTTTTTAAAGTAGCCAAATCTTGCAATTTATATATAATAGAGAAGACTAGAAAATCCCCCATATTTATTTCCTCTTACTTCGTACTACTAAAATTTGTATTTAGGCATTTGGTTTCTCAGATAAACATTACATTCCCCAGTATATGGTTCTATCTGGCTTGGTGACGACATGTTGAACATTAAGATGTGAGCAGAAGTAATACATACACACTCTTTTTAATGTCTTTAATTGAATGGGATATTGGCCCATTTTTTCTTCCAGTTTATTACACTGAATATTGACATGTTATTTTCCAATATTGAGACAATCAATGACAAGACTTTAAGAGTAACAATGTAAAAATTATAGAAGTTGTCTGAGTTTATCAACAATCCCCTGGATTAGAACCCCCTACCAGTTCTAGGTCATCTAATATATAGACATTGTGTTCAGTAGAAATAAATATATATATTTTTTAATATACTTTAAGTTCTAGGATACATGTGCACAACATGCAGGTTTGTTACATTGGTATACACATGCCATGTTGGTTTGCTGCACCCATTAACTCATCATTTACATTAGTTATTTCTCCTAATGCTATCCCTCCCCCTGCCCCCCACCCCCCGACAGGCCCTGGGGTGTGATGTTCCCCACCCTGTGTCCAAGTGTTCTCATTGCTCAATTCCCACCTATGGGAATACATTTTTAAATCATTTTTAAAGGTGTTATTACATTCTGATTGAACATTTTCAGAAAGAATAAATAATTTAATACAAGAAGTGGGCCACTTCATGTAACAAAACAAACCACCACTACAGCAACAACAACAAAAAACACTAATGAATGTGACTTTAGCTTTGCAACATCATGACAGACTAGCAAGTTAATGACATTTGTTATGCCATAGAAAATATTTGTTGAATTGCCACTCTAATGACTTTATATCAGCCAACTCATTATCAACACTAGAAAAGATGATTAAAAAATACTTCAGTACGTTCATGTGTTGGCTTGTTAACATTTTTAAGAGTCTATAAGAGAAAAATGCATCCAATCTCGGCAAAAATATTTTTCAAGTATCTTGTAGGTACGTACAACTAACTACCTTGTGAACAAAAGTCACTATATAATTATATAATTTCTGACACTTAAAAAAGTTTATTGTGCAAAAGAAGATATATGTTCTAATACCAAATCCACATATAAAATAATTGACTTATTTAAATAATTTAAGATGCTCTTTTATATATTTATATTAAAAACTTTACAGAGAATAAAAAAGGCATTATACAGGCTGCTTATGGTTTTTGATGTTTGGATATACAATACATGTATCAAAGATTGTGGAAATAAATCAAGCAATATATTCAATTGGACTTAATTGCATTATTACATGCCAAGTGTCGTATACCATCTATTTGCACATAACACTTTTTAATTTAGGTAAAATTATTAATCATAAAGCTATATGAATTTATTTTATTCCATGTTATTTTATTATTCCATGTTATTATTTATGTATTGTTAGGAACATTTGCTTAAAAATCATATTTGGACATAGTATCAGATACTTTACATCCTTCGAATCAGTTATTTTATAACAGTATATACTAAACATCATTACTCCTTTTCAAACATAAATAACGCAATACAAATTGGACAAAAAATTCAGGAAAGATCTGGGATCAAAAAGGAGGTATTGAAACATCACATGTACTCCATAATTATATACAAATATTTTGTACCCATAATATTTAAAATACAGAAAATTAAAAGGTACATTTTCCTCAAAGTGCATGCTTCTTTTGCTATGCAAAACTGCAGGATATGGAAAGAAGTGTATTAAAACACTAAATCACTTTATGTGGAAGATAAAAGGGATGGTACCCAATGTACAACTTCATGTAGTGCACTGATATATTCAATATAAATGATGTATTAACTTCAAGATAACATGAGAAAGTTAAATTATCTAACTTATTTCAAACTAGGGGATAGTATGTTCTCATTATTAGAAGCCAGAATTCTGCTTATCCATTTCTATTATTAGAAAAAAACATAATTTTTATTCTTGTCTTAGAAATAGACACCTTGATATAATTCTCTGTAAATGTAGCATGATAGTCTGTTTACAGAGTTTATATCATTCCAAGACTGCACTTCTAAAGTGAGAAAATATTAAAGGATATAAACTCACTCCTCTCTACAAAATTCCTTATTTTTTATGCAATGGCTTTAAAATGTATGGAAGGGGAGTTATGGAAACAATCCATACCTGGAAAGCATTCTATCCATGCCTTTGAAATGGTTATCTAGTACTAGATTCTTATCGGTGCCTAGCTATGTAATGTGTGTAGCTTAAGATTTTTAAGAAAGAAGGATAAAATGCTCAATATAAATTTAAAAAGCACTTTTATTGGAATATTGAGTCATGTATTTGCTTTCTGTAAGTCCTTTTATCTATAAAATAATAGTTGAGAAAGGCAAATAGAATATGTGGAGGAATTAAAAATTCAGTTGTAGGGTGGTAAATGAAAACCAAATTTTTCATTCACCACATTAAATGTAAATG
This sequence comes from Homo sapiens, assembly GCF_000001405.40. Classification (NCBI taxonomy): domain Eukaryota; kingdom Metazoa; phylum Chordata; class Mammalia; order Primates; family Hominidae; genus Homo; species Homo sapiens. The sequence goes on along the minus strand of NC_000010.11, from coordinate 87,317,462 downwards.
GGTATTATACTCAATTTAAGCAGCAAAGTTGCTCCTTTTTTTTTTTTTTTTTTTTTGAGACAGAGTCTCACACTGTCACCTGGGCTGGAGTACAATGTTATCATCTCGCTTCACTGCAACCCCTGCCTGCTGGGTTCAAGCCATTCTCCTGCCGCAGCCTCCCATGTAGCTTCTTAAGATGTGAAGATTTTTAAATTAAGATGACTCTTGGGATGAACCATTTGGTGTTGGTTAAAGACTTTTACTGACATATTTTTAATAATTTTTTTAACTTTTATTTTCAGGTCAATGGCACATGCGTAGGTTTGTTATGTAGGTAAACTAGTGTCACAGGGATTTGTTGTGCAGATTATTTCACCACCCAGCTATTAAGCCTAGTACCCATTAATTGTTTTTCCTGATCTTCTGCTTCCTCCCACCATCCACCCTCCCAGAGGCCCCAGTGTCTGTTGTTTCCCTCTATGTGTTCATGTGTTCTCATAATTTAGCTCCCATTTGTAAATGAGAACATGCAGTATTTGGTTTTCTGTTCCTGCCTTAGTTTGTTAAGGATAAAGACCTCCATCCAGCTCCATCCATGTTCCTGCAAAGGACTTGATCTCACTCTCTTTTATGGCTGCCTAACATTCCATGGTGTATATGAACCACAAAATAAAGATGGTTCTTAACTTTTAAATTAAGATTTTTAAATTAAGATGAATCTTGATTTTTAAATTAGTATGGTTTTAAGATAGTTTTACAGATAGATTAGATAATCTATCTAGAGATAGATAGGGAGAGATATCTATCAATACATATCTCTATCTAGATATAGATAGATGGTTTTCTATATAGACCTATCTATCTATATATGTATACATCTATATATGTCTACACATATCTCTATACACATATATATATTTATATCTACATCTGTATTTCTACATGTATATAGGTATGTATATATCTACATGTATATATGTATATAGATAGATATATACATAGGTATCTGTATATATGCATATACATGCCTATCTATCTTTATCTACATGTATTACATAGATAGGGTAATTACTGATAAATCCTTTGGTCTTCTTTGTAAATCTCTGGGCTAAAGACCCCTCCAGTATTATACGTGTTCTGGTCTAGATTGCTCACTCACCGGTTCTCCTCACTATCTAGAGAAGATCCACTTAGCAGGCCTCCCCTTAAAGAAGGGCACCTTAACTGGACTCACTCCTCCCATAGTAGACTGCACAGTACACAAGCAGAAGAGGAGAGCTCAGTAATAAAGTCACCATAAAGGATAATTTTTAAATGAATAAAGACATCAGAAAATCCAGTATTGGCTAGCACATATGGCTATCAGCAAGCTCACCCTACAAAAAAATAGTGAGAAAACAGTTCGAATATTGGCCGTTTGGGGCACATATTCTACAAAAAGGAAAAGTTTTGAAATGTATATATATTTAATTTAACTCTTTAAAATATTTGTAGGCAAGCCCAGTGGCTCACACCTATAATTTCAGAACTTTGGGAGGCCAGGGCAGGAGGATTGCTTGAGGCCAGGAGACCAGCCTGGGCAACATGGCAAGACCCCATATCTACAGATGGTTTTAAAAAATTAGCCAGGTATAACACGATGAAACCCCGTCTCTACTAAAAATATAAAAATTAGCCGGGCATGGTGGTGGGCGCTTGTAGTCCCAGCTACTCGGGAGGCTGAGGCAGGAGAATGGCATGAACCCGGGAGGCGGAGCTTGCAGTGAGCCAAGATCATGCCACTGCACTCCAGCCTGGGCAACAGAGCGGAGACTCCATCTCAAAAAAAAAAAAAAAAAAAATTAGCCAGGTATGGTGGCACACACTTGTGGTCCCGTCTACTTAGGAGGTTGGGGCAGGAGAATTGCTTGAGCCCAGGAGTTTGAGGCTGCAGTGAGCTATGATCATGCCACTGCACTCTAGCCTGGGTGATAGAACAAGACCCTGTCTCTTAAAAAAAAAAAATGTATTATGCACCAGGTACAATGTGCTAGGTACTGGGGAGAGATCTTAAAAAAATGTATTATACACCAGGTACAATGTGCTAGGTGCTGGGGAGAGATCAGGGGATAAAGCAGAGCAAAATTTCTGTCCTCATGGAGCTTGTGGTCTAAAGGAGGAAAAAAGGCAATAAACAAATTAAAAAAGAGGAATACAAAGTATGTGGGTAGGGATGAGTACAACAGAGGAAAATCAAGCAGGAAAGATAGAACTCTGGAAAGAAGTAGGGCCAGTGTCAAATAGGATGGCCAGGGAATGCCACACTGAGAAGGTGACACCAAAGCAAAGACCTACAGGAGGTGAAGTGGTGAGCCATTCAGGTCACTAAAGGAGGCATGTTCCCAGGAGAGGGGACGACAATGCAAAGGCAAGAAGGAGCACCAGCCTGTGTGTTGAGAAAAGCATGGGGACCCAAGCAGCTAAAGTGGAACACATGTAAGAAGAATAACCGTAATGAGGTCTGAGAGACAACTGGGTGGGAAGTGTCTTAATCTGTTTGTGTTACTATAAAGGAATATCTGAGTCTGGGTGATTTATAAAGAAAAGGAGGTTTGTTTAGGTCACAATTCTATAGGCTGTACAAAAATCAGCACCAGTATCTACATCAGGTAAAGGCTGGAGGTTGCTTCCACTCATGGCAAAAGGGGAAGAGGAGCCAGTGTGTGCAGAAATCACAGGGTGAGAGAGGAAGCAAGAGAGAGAGGGAAGCACCGGGCTCTTTTAAAAAACCAGCTCTTGGGAAAACTAATAGAGAACTCACTCACTACTCTCACCATGGCAGGGCATTAATCTATTTATGAGGGATCCATCCTTATGATCCAAACACCTCCCACTAAACCCGACTTCCAACACTGGGGATCAGATTTCAACATGAGATTTGAAGCGGACAAATATCTAAACTACAGCAAAGAGTACAGATCGGGAGGCATGGCAAGCTCTGCTGGTCACTCCAGTGGGGTCAACATTTCAAGAATGTTACAAGCAGCTGGGCTTGGTGGCTCATGCCTATAATCCCAGCACTTTAAAAGGCTGAAGTAGAAGGATCACTTGAGGCCAGGAATTCAAGACCAGCCTGGGCAACATAAAGAGACCCTGTCTCTACCAAAAATTAAAAAAAAAAAAAAAAAAAAAAAAAAAAAAGCCAGGCATGGCAGTGAGCACCTGTTGTCCTAGGTTCTCAGGAGCCTGAGGCGGGAAGATTACTTGAGCCCAGGGGGTCGAGGCTGCAGTGGGCCACAACTGCCCCACTGCACTACAGCCTGAACAACAAAGTGAGATCCTGTCTCTTAAAAAAATTAAGAAAGAAAGAAAAGAAAACAGTATTACAACCAGTTTTCTAGCAGCACATAGGGGAAGAGTCTGTTGTCCTCCCAGATCTCTGGCCAAGGCCCTGGCAGAGGCAAGAATTACAAAGACCCTAACCTGTTGTTTCCTAGCTCCCCAGAGACACTAGGGAAAGCTATCTCAAGGGCAAACACATGTTGACTGGTCTCAAGGAGTAAGGGGTTATTGTTCCCTCCCCTGGAGAGAGTGCAATCAAGGGGAGTTGGACAACCCATCTTTGCTCTACTTGCTGCTTCCTTTTTTCACCAACTTTAAGTCCTTTGGGTTCTGTATAACCAGATCCCTGCTTCCTCTAGCCGAAATTGGTTTCATTTTGACCAGAGACTGGTTACAACACACCTTTCTACCACCACCTCTATTAGAAGATTTAACTCTTTGTTTCTCTAATAATCTCTTTTCATACTTAATTGTGAGCCCCTTAAGAGACACATCTTACTACTTATTGTGTTTTCTGTGCCTAAGTATTCTGTGTAATACTTACAACTTACTGCATCTTCTGATGCAAAAAAAAAGTTTAAAAGGAAATGGATTGTCATCTGCTGAATCAGGCTAAGGGTAGGTCCTGGAAGATACTCCTTCCAAACCTTATAATCAGAGGTGACTGCACAGTTGGCTTACAAGAGCCTCTTTTCAAAGTAATTGGGGATGCAGTGCTTAGAACTGGGCTGGCACTGTAATTTTTTTAGGAATCTGCTCCCATTTACAAGACGTTCCATCATAAAAATCAAATCATAAAATCAAATCCAAGTATGTTCATTTGGTATATTCATTTTCCACTTCTTACTAGGGGTGGTGGGGGAGGAGAAGCTGGTACAGGAGAAATGTCTTTTATTTCCCCTCTATAACAATGGTATAATTCCAAATCTTATAGACCATCACACAGTTCTGTTAGTTGATTGTTTTCCATGGATTCTACCCTGCCAGGAGACACAATAAATAACTTTTTGAAACTTCATTCTTCAGTCCTGGGAGTTTTTACAAATAAAAGGACACACATGTTGAGACAAATTACATGCTTGAAAATCTGTCACTAACATCAATTTCATGTTAAAAAGTACGAAGCAGCTGTTACAGTGGCATTTCTTTTGTTGTTGGGGAAAATAATGTGTGAATAGCTATGCTAATTCAGAGGTAATTTTCAAATTTCATGACTAAATAAAAAAGCTAAGAGTAGTTCACTAGGTAATTAATGTTTGGGAGGGAGTTGTTGGTTTTGTTGATTTATTATATCTTGACAGACTGGTATGATTGAAATGAATTAAATGTTAGACGTGCTTAACATTTTATATGCTATATATCATAATAGCAAAGTGCACAGATCACATTATTGAGTGCCTTTGGATTTTAAAAATAAAGATTGCTATTCAGATGAATACCATTTCATTATTGCCTGCACTACTCTGTCAAATTAAAAAATATAATAGCTATCTTTATTCTCATTTTAAAGCATGATAATCATCAAAATGTTGAAGTTTATCACAGTTCTACATTAAAAATAAGTCATTTTTGTAGGTGAGTTATCCAATACAGCAAAGGCCATCAAAGAGAAAGCCAATACTTTCATGGAGAGCTCAGAGCCTTAATAGATCCCAGCAGCAATGCTTCAACCATTCCCAACTCCATGTTCCTTGCTAGATGCTCCTCACCCCAAACTCCTGCAAATTTCAAGAATTTCTGTGTATGTGTGTGTTAAGGGAGGAGTTTTAAAGTATCTCTGTATTCAACAAGATACGTCAGCTTGTAAGCAGCAGAAACCTACTTAAACTAGCTTACATGAGAAAATAACATTATAAAGACATAGGAGTGTTTCTACACCAAGAACTGGAGGTATTGTTTGGTTTCATGAAGGATTAAAATCTGTAATTCAAAAGTAGACTCAGGCAGCTGCACATCAATCTGTGTCTTTTCTCTGGTACTGTGGACTCTATCCTGTCTGACTTGCTTTGTTCCTGGGCATCATTCTTGCTCTGGAAAACACACTTTCCCTGCTCATTTTTTTATTTTAATGCTTAGGTTCAATCTGCTCATTTTTCCCTACAGCAGAAGACAGCTTACTGTGTTCCAGCAAACAACAGAGCCTGACCAGCCTCTCTGAATATGGGGCCCCATTCTCACTCACAAGTATTCTTAACCTGGGGTCCATGTGGGGTTTGTGAATTTGGATAGGATTTTAAAATTACATTTTCATTTCCACTAATCTCTAACCGAAATTCAGTCTTTTCTTCAACTGTGAATGTAGGCAGCAAGCCACAGTGGAACTTGCAGAACCTATAAATTTGTCACTGTGATTGATGTTATAATGTTACACCTAGATCTTCTTTCAGAAATGAGGACTTACCCCAGCTACTATGAAAGCTGTTGGCAGAGTGCCCTCAGCTGGCAGCCCCAGGGAAATGGCCTCAGTTGCAGAGAGCCACCTCAGCTGGGTAATAAACACCTGGCCCTCTTTGATTCAGGGCACTTCTGAAGGGTCATATAATCTTCAGACCTTCTGTAAGGTTGGCTGAAGCTTCCTCTCAGACTTCATCACAGCTCAATGTCATCCTTCTCTGACCAGTTCCACCTTGCCTTCCCTCATGTTGATGTCAAGAGCGTTCCCTAGCAAACTCCCCAAATGCCAATCTCCAGCTTAGATTCTGCTTTCTGGGGAAACTGAACTGTGACAGTTACTAATACAAAGAATCAATATTTTTATGTCACATTATACTTAGATAGCTTGAAATATATATGCATCTAGTTACTTAATACATTATTAAAAAACTTTTTACTATATCGAAAATTACTTTTTAAACATTTTAGTAACTGTATTTCAAGATAATTTTCTGTGTTATCCTATGCCTTTTATTTTATGCATCTTAAAACATCATTCTGAGAAGGAGCCTATAGGCTTTATCACTGCCAAAGGAGTCCATGGCAAAAAAAAAAAAAAAAAAAAAAAAAAGTTGGAGGAGTCAAGAACCCCTGGGAACTATCTCAGGAGATCTTGGTTTTTTGCAGGGCTTTCAGCACCATCCATTTTCCAGCGGCTCCTTAATCGATGTCACTCCTTCCCCATTGCTCCAGTGCTACTCAGCTGAACTCACCAATTGCTCTTAACTGATCTTTTACGTCACCATTCATTGCTCCCATCCATTTTCCATACAGACACCAGAATGGTTTAAATACATATACATATATATATGCAGAGCATGATAGCTCATGCCTGTAACCCCAGCACTTTGGGAGGCCAAGGAGGGAGAATCACTTGGGGTCAGGAGTTCGAGGCCAGCCTGGTGAAACCCCCATCTCTACTAAAAATACAAAAATTAACCAGGCATGGTGGCATGCACCTGTAATTCCAGCTACTTGGGAGGCTGAGGCGTGAGAATTGCTTGAACCCAGGAGGCAGAGGCTGCAGTGAGCTGAGATCACACCAGTGCACTCCAGCCTGGGTGATGGAGTGAGACTCTGTCTCAAAACAGAACAAAACAAATATATATGTGTGTGTGTGTGTGTGTATATATATATATATATATATATACACACACACACACACACACACATATACACACACACACACACACACACACACACACACACATATATATATATATATATATACACACAATAAATATGCCTGGAGTTAATTCTAAAATAATAGTTAACATTCCCCAGATTTTTACTATGAGCCAAACTCTCTGCTATTATTGCATTAATATATTTAACAGGCCTATGAGGTATGTACTGTCATTATCACTATTCCATACATGTGAAAACTAAAGATTATAGAAGAAAAATCACTTTTCTAAAATCACATACCTAATAGTAAGTGGCAGAATTGAACTGGTAATCTCAGAGCCAAAGCTCACTCTTTATCTTTTTGAAAAAAAGCTTTTTATTTTAAAAAATTTCAAACATACCCCAAAACACAAGGAGATGTATAACAAATTCCCATGTACTTATCACCCAGTCTTAGCAACTTTCAATATTTTGACAGTTTTATTTTATCTGTTATCATTTCCCTTGGCACTCCCACATTTTCTTTCTTTATATCTGGAATATTTATTAAAGCAAACACCAGACATCACAGAATTTCACCCAATACAATAGTAGAACCATTAGAGCCCAGTAGAATACTTCAGTAGAATAATGCTTTAAAAATGTTTCTCTAGTCATGCCATTCCCTGTTTCAAATACTTTAGCACATTCCTATTCTACTTAGGATAAATCCTCCACAGGACCTGTAGACTTCTGAGTCACATGGCCCAGGCCTCCCTTCCAAACACCATTTGATGACCCTCTACCTTGCTCAAGAAAACACTGGGCCTACTGACCTTCTCTTAATACTGGTAACTCCTTATCACTGAGTCAGGACCTTCTTTTCTTAAGCCCAGGAGACTTTTTCTTCCACTCATTCTCCTGTGTAAATGTCCTCTCCTTAGAGACATCATCCTATGTTGATTCAGATTCCAAGTTCTCTCCAGTCTAATTCTCCTTCAGCCGAATTCTTTCTTACAGTGTCCTATTCTTGGCTTTCATTTGATTTCTCACAATTAATAATTTTGCATATATTTGCATGTTTGTCTGTCTCTGCTACTGGGCTGTAAGAGACATGTCAGTTTTGCTCACTGGTCTATACCTAGTCTCAACATAGTACTTGGCATATAGTAAGCACTCATTAAACTGTGAAGTGTGTGTGTGTGTGTGTGTGTGTGTGTGTGTGTGTGTGTGTGTATGTATACATATATATGTGTACATACACATTTTAGTGTATGTATATTCTCATGTATTCTACAAGATTTTGGGCAAGTGTATCCTATATTACATATAAAGACAGTAAGAGAATAACTTACAGAGTTAAAAGTAAGTGTAAAAGGAGCAGTTATATTAAATTTTGAAAAGAATAAACTATTAATTATGTAATTCTCCATTGTTCCATGAAAACAGATGTGACTATTCATTAGCACTGACTAATGAAGGATATGTTATTTCAGATAATCTATCAAAAAAAACCCCTCTTTCCAGCATATAAAATCTTTCTCTCCCCATTGTCCTCAAGAGCTAGGACTTTATAACCTACTTTTATTTTGGTCCTAAAAATATTTTTTCTCAAAAATGCTTTAGAAGTAATTGAGATCATCAATAAGAAGTTTATGCAGCTTTCTTGGAAATGTTATGAGTTAGGTCCTAGCAACCTATCTCTAAGGCTATGAAGCACTGATAGTCTGGCATCTATTTTATCTGAACCAACTCCCTGCTTCAGAAACTGCTGTCTTGAAATATCGTTCTGGGCTGAATATCTATTGCAGTATGTATAAAATGGAATTACAGGCCATTGCTACATTTGCTGCAGTTACTGGCATGATGGATTATAGGTACTCAGTCAGACTGCATTTAGCATTATGATTTAGTAAAGTAGCTGAAAGAGGAACATTTGTTCTCTTTTTGTTTTCCAATAATGTTTTTATTAGAAATATATGTACATTGTTGAAAACTGGAAAATGCCAAAAATAGAAGGAAAAGAGTGAAAATTGCTGATGATACCACCACCAAGAAATCATCACCATTAATATTTTGGCTTTTTTGTTTTCAGATTTTTTCCATTATGAAATTGTTGATATTTGATCCTTTTGACCTATAAAAATGTTAATATCATATAGCTTACTCGAACATATCCAAATAATGTCATATATATTATTTTATGTACCAAAAAGCATACTAAACAGATTGTTTTATAGCTTACTTTTCTCATTTTTAACATTATAATTTAAGCATTTGTTCATAATATTAAAACTTTTTGAAAACATTATTATGAATGACTATTTCAATATGTGGATGTACCACAACTTACCTAATGATTTACCTACTGGTAATCATTGAGTTGGACTGGTTGGACATGAGTTGTTTCTAATTTGTCGCTATTACAAATAATGCTCTGATAAATATGTATAATTAATTTGTGTTTCAGATTATTTTTATTTCTAGAAATGAGATTCTTGGTTATAGGCTAAATATATTTTCTTGTTTTTTTTTTTTTTGTTCATTTGTTTGTTTGAGATGGAGTCTCTCTGTCACCCAGACTGGAATGCAGTGGCATGATCTTGGTTCACTGAAACCTCTGCCTTTCTGGTTCAAGCAATTCTCATGTTTCAGCCTCCCAGGTAACTGGAATTACACGCACACGCCACCTCGCCTGGCTAATTTTTGTACTTTTAGTAGAGACACAGTTTCACCATGTTGGCCAGGCTGGTCTCTCAAACTCCTGACCTCAAGAGATCTGCCTGCCTTGGCCTCCCAAAGTGCTGGGATTACAAGCGTGAGCCACTGCACCTAGCTGGTTATGCATATTTTCAAGTCTATTGATACCTAGTGCCAGGAACTTGATTTCAAGAAGAAATATATGTTGTATGAATGCAAGGGCTGTGTTTGCTTTTGCTCACCTGTTTCTGCAGTGGCCAGGCTTTTTGTCACATTAAAGGTACTCAGTAAAACATTTGCTCAATGAATAAATGTATGGCACCTGCCACTGAAAATTAAGAATGTCTCCAAAATCAGACAACATGACATGCGTATCTCTTTTGGGTTGCCAGTGTTGTAATTCTACTCACACCAGTGGTAGTTCTTCTGAGGCACTAACAAGTAGTATTTTTCTGGTGGTTATGATCTCACTTTCCAGCTTCTCTCATGTATCAGAGATATTTTATAGCAGTTGAAAATTTGAACTCTCAAATTAGATAAGTTGTAACTTAGAGTCCTCCACTAGGTAGCTGTGTAAACTCGGGAGTCATATAACTTCTCTGGGCCTCAGTTTTCCTCCATGAAATGGGAAGATTGACAGCATCCACTTCACCGAGAGGTTGTGAGGATTAAATGAGCTCATTTTCATAGAAATGCATTATGGTGCTGAGCACATAGTAATTGTTCAATAAATGTTTTCTGTTATTTGACATAATTGAGAAACTCTGAAAGTACTTTTTCCTCCAAAAGGGAGTATATAAGGAAAGATGATGATTCTATGTAAACGTCTCAAAAAAGAGCCGAGAAGTACAAATGAGAAAATACAATTGAGAAAACAGAATTTTAAAAGATTTCATAACCTTTTAAATTCCTCCTTGGTTGTTTTTATTATCCCAGGCCTATTTCTTTCTAATAATTGGCAGAAAAATCACAGACCAAAGGCCTCCTCTGGCAGGGGAGCCTGGAAGAGCAGCTGGGGAGATTGGCGTCCTACCCCACTGCCGGTCTTCCCAGGGACTGAGAGAGGGAACAGGAAATTGGTGAGTGTCTGAAGGTCTACAGTGAGGGGGACAGAAGAGAGAATGCAGGGACAAGTAATAGACTGATAAAAGACTTTGAGACTTGAAGAGTTTCCAGTTTGGACGAGCTGCTGGCACTGTGTGCCTGGGTCAGTCACAGTGGGATATGGATGCTGACTACTGAGTGAGGATCGAGTAGGTGTGTGGGCAAGGGCAGGTCATGTCCCACTAAGGACTGGCAGAGGCTGGCAGTGCTAGGAGAGGACCAGTCCTGGGGGAGGGAGAGCTAGTGTTGAAAACAGGGACCAAATCAAGCCTTTGTTTTCCCAGATGTGCTATATTCAGTCATTTAATCGACAGCTGTTCTTGAGAGTCTACTATACGCCAGGTGCTGATGCAGGCCCAGGGGTAACAGCAGTCAACCAAGAAACAGGCAAACATTTCACCCTTTGTGGAGCTGTGTTCTAGTGGGAGGAGATAGACAATATACAATAAATATAAAACATACCCCAGTGATATGTATTAGAACATAATAGGTACCTTTTTAAAAAAAGAGCTGAATAATGAGGGTGGTGAGGGTGAGTGGTGAAGGGGAAGTTTGCAATATTGATTGGGGTTAATAAGGGTGGGCCTTGTTCAAACAGTGGCATGAAAGCCAAGACATGACGCAGGTAAACGAGCAAGCTAGAGAGTGTTCTAGGCAAATGTAAAAGCCTCAAGGTAGAAGTCTGTCTGTTTTTGAGGAAGGCCAGAGTGGCTGGAGCAGAGTGAGTGAGGGAGAGGATGGTAGGAAATCAGGGCAGGGAGATTAATAGGGGACCGGTTAGTAGGGACCCCAGGAGGCCACTGTAGTGTTGGATATTCCTGGATCAGAGTTTCTCAAATCATTCTCCACAGGTAATGTCTATTCTCCAAGAGAGTTTTCCTTGGCCTGTGGCCAGGCTGCTCAAATAGAATGCAGAAACAAAGAATTTGCCTGAATTCTGCTAGCCACTCTCCAAGGTCTTCTCCTGCGATGGGTGGAGGGACTTTCAGGGCAACCCTGTTCTAAGTAGGAGGTGAAGGTGATATCCAGACAAATCCTTCCTGGGTATTTGCTCGGGGGAACTTGGGACTTTTTGGCAGTATTGTCTATGGCTCTGGCTCATTAATTCAGCCCTCGTGTTCCCGTATCTGCAAGGGCATAACTGCAGTCCCCTCAGTTCTCTGGGTAATGTGACTCTCACTGCAAACCTCAACATGGAAAGCTCTTGCTAAGGTGGGAAGGTCTCAGTCCTCCAAAGGAAACGAAGTTGTGGCAGCCTTTTTACTAGAAGGATCAACTTAGTAATTAACAAAAATACTTAAAATAATGAAGAGGAGGTGGGTGTAATCAAGAACTATGATTATTCAGGATCTCTGTAGGAGTAAATGTATTACTTCAAAATTCTCCAGTTTTGCACGCCCATGTTTATTGCAGCACTATTCACAATAGCCAAGATTTGGAAGCAACCTAAGTGTCCATCAACAGATAAATGGACAAAGGAAAGGTTGTAAATACACAGTGGAGTACTATTCAGCCATAAAAAAGAATGAGATCCTATCATTTGCAACAACATGGATGGAACTGGAGATCATTATGTTAAGTGAACTAAACCAGACACAGAAAGACAAACGTCGCATGTTCTCACTTATCTGTGGGAGCTAAAAATTAAAACAATTGAACTCATAGAGATAGAGAGTTAGAAGGATGGTTACCAGAGGCTAGGAAGAGTAGGAGAAGAGTCGGGGGTACGTGGGTGTGGTTGATGAGTACAAACAATAGTTAGAAAGGATGAATAAGATATAGTATTTGCTAGCACAACAGAGTGACTATAGTCAAAAATAATTTTATTGTACATTTTTAAATAATTAAAAGAGTATACTTGGGTTGTTTGTAACACAAAAAATAAATGCTTGAGGTGATGGATACCCCTTTTGCCCTGATGTGATTATTATGCATTACATGCCTGTATCAAAATATTACATGTACCCCATAAATATATACATCTACTATGTACCCACAAAAATTAAAAATTAAAAAATTAATCTCCAGCTTTGGAGTCAAAAGCTAAAGCCATTTTTTTACATTTTAAGATTTGGGGGATGAAAAATACAGCATTATGCTTTTAACAGCCCTTTACAGCTTTACCATTTTTTAACCTTTGTCTCAGCCTTCTTGTGTTTAAGTATAAGTGTTCTCTTTATGGAAACCCAAAGCTTCCCTTATTTAAATTTCAAGGATGTTGAAACATTGTAATGTTTCATTACAATTAATGAAACATTACATTAAAATGTAGAGTCTACATCATGTACCTGTTTTCTTTTTTTTTTTTTTTTGAGACAGTGTCTCACTCTGTCGCCCAGGCTGGAGTGCAGTGGCGCCATCTCGGCTCACTGCAAGCTCCTTCCTCCTCCTGGGTTCATGCCATTCTCCTGCCTCAGCCTCCCGAGTAGCTGCAACTATAGGCACCCACCATCACGCCTAGCTAATTTTTTGTATTTTTAGTAGAGACGAGGTTTCACCGTGTTAGCCAGGATGGTCTCGATCTCCTGACCTCATGATGTGCCCACCTCGGCCTCCCAAAGTGCTGGGATTACAGGCGTGAGCCACCGTGCCTGGCCCTGTTTTCTTTTTTAAAAAATGTTTTATATTTTTAATTACCCTTTTAACTGAACCTGTTTTCAATTCATGTGAATATACATAAAGTATAACACTAAAGAGTTAAAGAAAATATCAAAAAACTCTCCCAAGAGGTGTCAACTGAGTAATAACAACCTAGTTGGAATTAAGCCACTTTGACAAGCTACACTTTCTGAGTGCTTATGTACCAATTGCCTTAACAGATGTTTATTTCTTGGTGTGACAGGCTGCTGACCTTAGATCGTAAGCCCAGCCCTGGGTTTCCCCTTCCAGATAAAACTCTGTTATCAGACCAGAGCTGGCTTGCTCAGACACAGTGCCAGCCTACCTGACCACACCCTGCCAACAGCAGCTGCTGAGGAGTAAGACTGAAGTTACCCAAATGCTCGTCCAATGGGCTCACATGTTAAAGACCAAATATTCCCCCCGGATCATGATCTCCTCAGTCCTCTCATCTCCGGAAATGGAGCTACCATCCTTTCAGTTGTTCAAACTAAAAAGCTAGGAATCGTGCTTTGATTCATCTCCCCCCAACCATGTACATCTAATAATACAGCTAATTCCAACAGCTCCTTCTCCAAAAGATGTCATGACTCTGTGAGCTACCTTCCATCTCTACCGCCATAATCCTGGTCCACACTTCATCACACCTGACCTCAGTTATTGTGATAGCTTTCTGTTTTATTTTATTATTTGAATTTTATTATTTTATTTTATATGAGACATGGTCTCACTCTGCTGCTCTGGCTGGAGTGCAGTGGTGCAATCATAGCTCACTGCAGTCTTGAACTCCTGGGCTCAAGCAATCCTCCTGCCTTAACCTCCTGAGTAGCTGGGACTACAGGCACATGCCACCACACTTGGCTTATGTTTTTATTTTTTGTAGCGATGAGGTCTCACTGTGTTGCCCAGGCTGGTCTTGAACTCCTGGCCTCAAGCAATCCTCCTGCCTTGGCCTTCCGAAGTGCTGAGATTACAGGCATGATCTACCATGCACGGTCCCATAGCTTTCTCAGTGATCGCCATATTCCCAAACTTGCACTTTCTAATGGCCATCAGAATGGTTCTTAGAAACCTATATCAGACCATTTCACGCCTCTGTGTGAAATCTCCTATATCTCTCACTGCAGTAAAATAAAACCCAAATTCCTTACCTTGGCCTACGAGACTGTTACTTGACCAGACTCTTACATACTTTTCTGACTTGACCTTCATCCCTAAATGCCACGCTCCAGTCACTCTGGGCCTTCCTTTTGTTTTCTGAACCCATTCAATTTGTTCCAGCCTTTGTATAAGGTGTCTCCTTTCCCTGGAACACTCCCTCCACCCCCTTGTCTTCTCAAGGCTGGATATGTTATTCTGATCTCATCTTAAATTACCACTTCCTCAAAGAGGTCCTCTGTGACTCCGCAGTCTAAAGTAGCCCCCACCAATCCGTCTCTATCCTATTTTAACTTTCAAGAGGATATTTTTCCTCTTTATTTCTTTTTCCTAGCTGTCTCCCACCCAGTGGGAGACACTTTCAATAGCTTGTTAGTAATCTAATATTTTTTTCTGATTGTAATAGTAGTGCATACTCATTGTAAAGTATTTGGAAAATACAGACGCAATAGTGCTTTGGCTGGGTTAGAGTCCCAGAATGTGAACTTTATGAGAGCAGCAATTTTGACGTGCAGTTTTCTGCTATATCCCCAGCACCTGGAACAGTGCTTGGCAAGTGAAAGGTGTTCCATAAATATTCAGTGCATGAATAAAGTTTTCTCTTGGTGGGGTTGATTTCTGAGTTGGTTCCATCATGGGTTGGTTATCTTTATCTTCCACTCTAGACTGTCTTCCTTCCTGTCCACTCATCTGATAATCTACATGCCCCATTCATCACTAGGGAACCCGTCACAGGAAGGGAGTGGGTGAACTAGCATAAGTGGAATAGCTAAATTGAGAAGACTCCAAAACTTATGCCTTGCTGCATACAAATTGTTAGCAATATCCTTTTGCTTATTAGGATATTCTGAATTAATATATAGATGTTCTAACACAAATTCATCTCTTTAGCGCTTTGCTATCTCTAAAATAGAGAGGGAAGAAGCATTGTTCTATTTCTCACTGAAAAAAGAGTATTACAGAAATGATTTTAGAAGTTTTAAAAGTGCTATTGAAATGCTATTTTAAATACAGAAATGCTATTTTAAACATGGAGAATTAAAGTCCAGAGCCATATCAT
This sequence comes from Homo sapiens, assembly GCF_000001405.40. Lineage (NCBI taxonomy): Eukaryota > Metazoa > Chordata > Mammalia > Primates > Hominidae > Homo > Homo sapiens. The sequence continues at coordinate 87,301,978 of NC_000010.11, read as the reverse complement.
CTAGCAATCTAACAAAAGGAAACGTAACTTTGGGCTTTGAAACCAGACTATGAACAGAGGCTAGTTCTCTATTTTAAGCAGTGTCTTCCATGAGTGGGTATTTTTATATTGCTATCTCCCCCAGTTTCAATAGCTTATTAGTAATCTAATATTTTTTTTCTGATTGTAATAGTAGTGCATACTCATTGTAAAGTATTTGGAAAATACAGACGCAATAGTGCTTTGGCTGGGTTAGAGTTTAAGGGTGTGTGTTAAAGCCCGGTAGAGGAACATGTGGTGTGAGACAACACTGCCCCCTAGAGGTCCTTGTGTGCCGCGGACTGACCGGGCCACCCAACCTCCGGAGACGTCCCGCCGCTTCGAGAAGGCTCCTGGACAACGAAGCGCGTCCGGTGATTTCAAGGTGGGGCTAGGAGTCTTGTGAGAGGAAACTCGGTCCTGACCCTATGTGAGTGCTGAAATTCATAGAACTGTGTAGACAAAGGTCAATTTTATTGCATGCTAATTTAAAAACATTTAAAAATAAAATAAGCTTTAAATGCCTTTAAGACATAATTTAAAATAACTTTAGAAAAATTCCAGTGAGAGACTCATCCCATAATTTAGCCACTCCTTCTGATGCTAGACTGCTGCACTGTTCCTATCTCTGTATAAATAAACCTGTATTGGAAACTCTGGGGGCATAAATCTTTGTACATATTTAAGATTTTAAAAATTAGGATACAGCTCAGAAGTGGAATTATGGAGAAGATGAGTATAAATGTTTTTTAGAACTCTTGATATCTGCTGCCAAGTTGCTTTCCCTTCAAGGTCGTGTCAATTGCCGCTCCCACCAGCAGTGACTGAGATTAAATGGTTTGGGTATTATTGAGTACATGAAATTAGAAGACATATTCAGGGTTGGTTGGGGAATTGCCTCCTGGTTGAGGTGGGGTGGCGGAGAAGTAGGAGAGAAACGGAGGTGGGTGCGTGTGTAAACCAGGAGAGAAATAGGCCTTCACGCCTGAGGGTTATCTGCTTCAGGTTTTTGTGCTTCCCCGATAACTCCTATTTTGCTCCTTACCACTTTCTTTAGGATTGATTTTTATTTTCTTATTTCTTCTTCACCCTCTCTTCTGGCCGTAGTGTAGGAGCAAAGTTAGGCTACCAAAGCAGCAATACTATCCTATGTAATCAACCAAGCAATGTTTTTAAAACACCAATCATATGAAAGGCACTGTGCAAGCCACCCCGCCCTCGGAATTTAGAGTGCAACAGGGAAAGGTGAGGTTAGTGTGACTTCCCTGCCCAACACCACCTTTCTCCCTCCTAAGTTGCTAATGGTAATGATGAAAATAATGTCATCATCAGGTATTATTTAGCTATTGGAAGAAACCACTCGGTGTCGAGTTCATCAAGGAATCCGTCACAGATGTGAAATCAAGCCAGGCCTAGCAAGGATGAGTGCATTTAATTGAATGCATTTCAGGTAGAGAAATGCCATGTGCAGAAGTGACGGCCTTTGGTAAGGAGTATGGGACTGTGACTATTTCCCCTTGATGACCTTGCATGAAAATAAACAAACAGCATTTGAAAAATCTCCTCTCCTGAGGTGACTAGAAGGTGACTCAACAGTCCATTTCCATGCCTTAGCTTGCTGGAGGAAATGGAGAGGCCTATTCCCCAAAGCAGTGTTTGTCTCACAGAAATAGAGATATTATGTGTAATAAATTGGGAAAACTTGTGAAATGAAACATCTGTTCTGCATGCTTAAGCACCAAGGCACTTGCAAAATATGAATTTTTACTCCATATTCCAAATGCTGTGATGATGAGCTGAGAATGAGTTTGGAAGGTTCATCTCTTTCCAATAAAAAGGTTCATCATGCCTCTCTGACTTTTATAATTATTTTGGAACATTTTAGATAGGAAATTGAAAGAGGAGGGAAAGAATGATGACAGAACTGAAGAAGAATTGATGAAAGGGTCAAAAAGCTAAAGAACTTTGAGAAATGGATTTTATGTGCAGTCAACAATGCCTTCAGCTAATTTAACCAAATCAACAAAGCCATTAAAATGTATAATGATTTTTATTTTGCTACAAATCTATGTAGAATGAAAGATACCTTGTGAAATGCAAAATCTTCCATATTTGGGATCTAAGCACCTGCATAGATGTTTGAGAAAACGGAAGGTGGCTATTCTTTTATTGAATGTTTTTAGAACATAATGCTACTCCCCCCTGCTCACTCCACCGCAATAAACACTTTATTCACTCTGGATGCCCTCAATTTCCCCTACCAGCTAGGAGCTGTGTATCACTCTCCAATGTACTGTTGATTTTCAATCTAGACCAGTCTCCAAGGTTACTCTTGACTTTAAAATATACAACACCAATTTGCAGGTTCCACCAGATATCCAGGTGTGAAATTTTCTTGAGGCCAATTTAAAGAACAGACTGTCTTTTTTTCTTACCATGGTGCTGCATATTAATGGTGCTAATGCTACACCTAAGGGATTTCAAAGCTCATTTCCAAACATCATCTCATTTGAACTTAACCAGAATTGGGAGATGGACTGTGCAATTATTTTTACCCAGCATTCCAAAAGGGGAAAAATAAGCATCTGAAAATGACTTCCCCAAGGTCACACAAAGAACCAAGACAAGACACTACGTTTCCTAACTCCTATTACTCTGTTTTCTATTGTATTATATACTTTATGCTTGAACATAACCAGGCAAGTCATTTTCCTTGAAAACTCTCAGGAGAAATGTTCTCTAGTCCCAATCCCTTGTCTAATTTCTACTTAAACCTATATCCTCCCCCATTTCTCCTTCTCGGTAGGCATGGGGGATCCCACACTGCAGATCCCACATGCCTATCAGGAGAGTAGTGACCTTATAGAGTCCCACATGGCAGTGTAAAGCAGTGAGAGTCACATCTTGGGTCCACGGTGGACTGATCCAACCATGTGGGCAGTGGTCAGAGGGGAGTTTTTAACCAGCAGTGGACCAGAATGGGTCACATCAGCAAGGTTGGTGCTGCAGCAAAGTGGCCATTGGGATGATAAAGGGATAGTGATGCTCACGTCCCAGTGTGGATGGTGGGAGAGCATGCATGTTGCTTTCTGTGATAGTATCCATCATGGTACATGAGGGCACAGTCGTTTCTCCTAACTCTGGAATACCAGGTTTCCTCCTCGACTCTCTCAGGATTCTCAGGTAAGAGAGGAGAGGCATGTGTGAGGGATAGGAGGAAGCCGAAAGGAAAACGAATGGGCAGAGATGACATAAAAGGCATATTTAATGAGGGATTGCCAGGGCAAAAGAAATAGATCCCCCTTTCTTTGACATAATTTTCAAATAATCATTTGTATCAAACAGCATTTCCCCCTTGGGGATTTTGAGAGACAGGTAAGGCCACCACCCCAGTGCCTGAGTTTATACTTATAGATACCTGCCTAAGACACTGGATGTGTCTTGGAGGGGGACTGTGGTCCTGCATTAGGTAGGTCGGTGCTAATGAGCTAATGAACTTTGGTTCAAATTGTAGAAGTAAACTGACCACTGTTCCCCGAAGTTGATACGGCCTGGGTGATACTTCTCAGACTTTCGAGTGCCTAAGAATCACCTGAAGATTCCGATTCAGTGGGTTTTAGGGTGGAGCCTAAAATCTTGCATTTCCAACAAGCTCCTGGTGATGCTATGATGCTAGTCCGTAGACTAGCTAAGTAGCAAGGAGCCAGGGACATTCAGATTACACTATGTATGTGGTTTTGCACCCTGATTTTTTTTTTCCTTTTAACCTCTTAAAACTTTTTGCTTAACATTTTACATAAATGTTTTCCCTATGATATTAATTATTCTTTAGACTCATCGTTTTTAATAAATGTGCTATTTAGTTACTTGGATGTGTAGTGATATATTTGATCAACTACCTTTTGTTTGAAATCTAAAATGCTTCCTGTTTTTACCTGTCATAAATCATGATGTCATGAGCATCCCTATTTATAAATCTTTGTTGGCTTCTCTGCACCAAAACTGGCAAGCAGGACAGAGCATTCCATTAGGGAAAAAAAGAAAGAGAGAGAGAGAGAGACAGAAAAGTATATAAAAGAAGTTGAAAATACTGTTTTAAAACAAATATTGACTGATCTCTAATGTCCACATCCAAGGCACTTGATGACAGGAATTATAGAATATTCAGAAAAATAGAGTTTTTCTTTCACTTCTGCTATAACGTGTACTTGGAAACTACACCATAAAGTATAAAGCTCGAAAGTGGCTGGAATTTCTGCATACGATGTATTGTAATTACAGATTGTGCTCCAAGATTTGTTATAAACTTTGTGAAGGGAAAAAAACACAAGCTGTGTTTTGTATATTAAACATTAAAATTGTAGGCTATATCGTATGCAATGGAAGGAAAATATGCCACATACGTTGAATTTTTAAAAACTACCATACCATAATTTTGCATAAAAACTAATAAACAAATTGTATTAAATGGGAAATAGTTAATAATTTGGCCTCTCTGGTTTGCTGCTGTGTCGCCAGGTCCTGGCTCCCATTAAGGTGACATCTAGCCTATAGGCCATTGAATAGAAAAAAGACATTCCTTCCTCAAGCACTTAACTTCCATTCAGCCAAAGCTTATGTGTATTGATTTTGTTGCAAGACACTGTACTGCCGTCTGCTAGAAAATGGTGTAGCAATAAAATCCAAATGTAAAATTTCTACATTGTGAATAGTACTTCCCAGATGTGGTGCACAGTCTGCACAAGCATAGGCACTGGCCCTACATCTAAATAGATTTTTCTGGAATGAAAGAATGAATGTATTCTATTGATCCTGGTTATGCTTTGAAGCTGTAATCTGTCAGTACCCTCTGTGGTCACTAGATAGGAAGTTGGAGAATATTCAGAGTGATAAAGAGAAGGGTAATGGGAAAGTCTAAATGAGTGCTTCTCAAATTTTAATGGGCGTATGAATCACCCAGGAATCTTGTTAAAATGCAAATTATAATTTGGATGTGGGGCCTGGGATTCTGCATTTCTCACAAGCTCCCAGCTCACTTATCATCTGATAAGAATGCTGTTGGTCCATAGGCCACACTTCGAGTAGAAAGACTCTAAAACAACAGTCAATCTTGGCTTCTTGCTAAGTAAATATTTTTTAGTAAAAATTGTCACTCTTAGTTCATTGAAATTGATTCAGTATTCTATTAATTTCTGTGTTGAATCTTGGAATGGAAAGAAACTTCCAGGTGATTCTAATGTGCAGCCAAGGTTGAGAACCACTGGTCTAGTGAAAAGTCATGCATCCAAAGCACCTAAATGTAGGGACTACGTGTAAAAGGCATTCACAAATGAAAAACATCAAATAATTGTGATTTTACATTTTAAAAAAAGAATTATTCTTCGTCTGAATATATTTATCACCACATGAATGATATACATTACTAAGTATTGCAGGCGTGTCCAACCTTTTGGCTGCACTGGGCCACATTGGAAGAAGAATTGTCTTGGGCCACACATAAAATACACTAACACTAACAATAGCTGATGACCTAAAAAAAAAAAAAAAAAAAAAAAAAGGTCCATGCATAGTTTTCATGATATCCACCACCACAGATAAGCAAAATAGTCCTTGCATTGAAAAGGTTGGACACAGCTGGAAGGAGTTTAGAGGCCGGAAGAGCTCTATAGGCAGAAATACTTTGGGAATGAAAGTAATGGGAGGACATAGGACAAGACGCTGCCCTCCCGGTATCTCAGGTGTGGCATGAGCATACGTGACAGGGGCAGTGAGCACCTGGGCTAAGGATAGCTATTCTACTCCTCCGGCATTGTTCTTCTTACAGAGTTGAGAGCTCCTCTGCACTTTGTGTATGCCATCGGCCAGCTGATAGTACTTTGCAACTCTGATCAATCAACATGCTTGCAGATTGTTACAATCTTGCCGTTTTCCCATCCACGATAATCGCATGGCTGTATCTTAATGCCAGTTTACTGAGTTGTATTGCTAGGGGCTTTCTAATTCCCAGTAAAGATTTTTAAATCCCTCAGCCATTTTCTTACTTAAAACCATTAAAGGTAGCTTTAGGTATGTTGAGGAATGTGTGTGGATGATACAGCATTTCTCTTCTGCCTGGAATAGTTGTCTTCCCTATTGCCGCTGCATTCCCTCATCTACTCTCCATCTCATTTTAACAAAGGATTGGTATTTTAGAAAGAACTCAGATTCTCTTTGGGGAAGCGAGCGCCACCACTTGTAAGGTGATTTTTAAAGATATATTCACAAGTTATTTGATGCTTCTCTCCCAAAGAGATGGAGCTACATTCCCCTTTTCTTAGTGTGGGCTGGACATAAGGACTCAGATAGATCTGGCAGAAAGGATGAAATGTCACTTTTGAGATTAGGTTATTGAAAGACTGTGGCTTCTGTCTTGGGAGGTGCGTGCTCACTTTTTCACTCTTAAACTCCTCACTCGGAGAAGCCAGCTGCCATGCCGTGAGGCAGCCTGTGGAGAGGCCCACGTAGTGAGGAACTGAGGACTGCTGGCAGCCGTGGCAGTGAGTGCAGAAGCAAATCCTTCCCCAGTTGAGGCTGCAGATGACTACAGCCCTGGCAAACACCTTGACTGAAGTCTTGTAAGAGATTCTGAGGCAGAACCACCCAGCTAAGAAGCTCCTGGACTCCTGACTCACAGAAACTGTGAGATGACATTTGTTTTTTAAAAAAATTGGTAAGCTTGGCTGGGCGCGGTGGCTCACGCCTGTAATCCCAGCACTTTGGGAGGCCAAGGCGGGTGGATCACGAGGTCAGGAGATCGAGACCATCCTGGATAACATGGTGAAACCCCATCTCTACTAAAAATACAAAAAATTAGCTGGGCGTGGTGGCGGGCACCTGTAGTCCCAGCTACTCGGGAGGCTGAGGCAGGAGAATGGTGTGAACCTGGGAGGCGGAGCTTGCAGTGAGCCGAGATCACACCACTGTGCTCCAGCCTGGGCGACAGAGCGAGACTCCGTCTCAAAAAAAAAAAAAATTGGTAAGCTTGGGGGTAATTTGTAATATAGCAATCATCAACTGACAGAACTTGCCTGAAACAAAATATTTTTTTCAGCAAAGAACCTGCTATTCTAAGCTTGCTGAAACTGGCTCTGTATTGAAAACTAGAATGGAAAGGAATGTTTAGTGTCAGGGTAAATTCATGAATCAGTGGACCCAACAGAAATGCAGTGTGTGTGTGCGTGTGTGCGTGTGTGTGTGTGTGTGTAAAATACATCTCACTTCTTTGGAAGTGAAAGATGAATTTTTGGAAGAACAAAACTACAATCAGTTCTTTGTTGTCATTGAAATCATTTGATAATCCGAAGCATGCACGCACACTCCCAAAAGAGTAGAAGATGGTAGCTCACAAGACAAGGAAGACTGGTAAAGCTACTGAGGTCTGTGGGAGCTGCCCTGTAAGTCAGAAGTGCCCACAAGTTGGAGCCATTAGGTTTTAAATGACAGAAACCCAATTCAAGCTAGTAAGCAAAAAGAGAATTTATTGTCTTACACATCTGGGAAGTCCGGGGCTACAACAAACTTCGGTACTCCTGTTTACGGAGTTCTCTGTCTCCCTCATCATCTCTGGCCCTGCCTCCCTGTTTCTTTCCTCAACTTCTCCTGTGAGAAATCACTTTCTTTGGCCACCAGTAGCCCAGCTTCTCATCCTGAGTTTGCCTGCTCCATGGCTAAAAGTGCCTTTCTCCTAACAACAATTAATCCAACCCTAGGAACATTCTGATTGTCTGGCTTGGGTTGTAAGCCTTTGGCAAGGGGAAGGTGGTGAAGATGTTGTGATTGACAGGTTTGCCTGGACCACATGGAAAGAGAGGGAGTGATTACCCAAGGAACCCAAGAGGAGGGTGGGTGAGAGGGCTGTTAAACAAAAATATAATCACCGAAGCTCCCTACAACCTGGAGGCTTGATGAGAATAAGCCATGACACATGGTTGCTGTCGTATGGTTGCTGTTCTAAACACATGGTTGCTATTCTTATGGTGCTTCAGTGAGCTGCAACTAGAGGCTCAGGTTATAGGCTGAGTTAAGCCAGGAATGGGGTTTTCTTCTAGAAACTTCTGGAACTGAAAAGTTAAATTACTAGGAAGTCGCTGGAGAGGTTAGCTGGCCCTCCATGTCTATTCTACTTAAAGCTGTTCGACTTATAAGTATGAGAATTTAATTCTTCTCCACTCAGCAAGAGAGAAGAATGAGGTGTCTTTGCCTTTATATTTCTAAGAGAACTCATTTAGAGTTTTAAAACACAGGGAGATTAAGGATGTAGGAATGTGTGGAGGTGGTAGACATCTGCTGAATTTTTTTCATAAGAGAGTTTGAGTTGAGATTCTGACATATGCAGCCAAGAGATCCTAATAAAGCTGGTTCTAAAGAGATCCAGATTTTCATATTAGAACTATAATAAATGAGATTTATGTGCTTTTATGAAACTTTACGTTAGCAATTAAAGTATTTTGCACTGGAGGATCAGTTCAAGGGCAAATCTATGCAAAAATGTTCCAACTGAAACCTTTGTATTCAGAATCACAGTGTGTTAGAACTGAAAGAGGCCTGAAAGATCCTATTTGTTTTTTAAGTAAAAAGAAACATCTTTTCATATGTTTAATGGTTATTTGTATTTCTTCTTTTGTGAATTGCCTTTTAAAATTATTTCTCATTTTTCTGTTGGAACATTAATTTGCAAATTATTTGTAAGTGTTTTTATATGCATAATATAAACATATTATTTGTCATATACTGTATGCATCTTTCCTTTTTCCATGTTATAGTGCTGCTTTCTATATATCCATGAAGTTTTAAGTTTTTTGTAAGTTGATTTATCTCTTTGTAGATTATATCTTAGTGTTTATAACTAGTCAAAAGACTTCCCAATACCCAAATACACTAAATAGCCACATATTTTATTTTGCAATTTTTAAAATTTTATTGAATTTTAAGGATCTGTCTTTAATTTAATTATATATAAATCTTTAACAAATCTGAAATTTAATTTGTGAAGTAGGCATCTAATTTTATTTTTTCCCAAATGGTTAGCCAAATATTGCTGTACCATTTATTAAGTAATCTAGTTTTTCCCTATTCAACTGAAATGCCACACTGACTTAATGTTTTAGTTGTTTATTTGAGGCGGCAGAACTTCTCAAAACGTTTATTAACAGAGAACAATGTTTCATGTAATTAGCATTTGACTTAATAGCTCAATTTGAAGAATGGAAAAAATAAAGGGAAATGATAGATTTCAGTACTACGAACAACATTTGTTGGGACTTTTGAAGGTAGATAAATTGGAAGAAAAAGTATTATGTTGCTTTATTTTAAAAATAGAAGCTAGCAATTTTTAGCTGCATTTGAGGACTTTATTTTCTTTTTGCATTTTCTTCCCTGTGGTCTACAGATTTCCTAGCAGACTTAACATCTGGCATTGGGGAATCCTTAAACCCAAGGAAGGAACTGCTGGCAGGAAATTTTCTGTGGATGTTAGGATTGGGAAAAGGGGAGATGAAATAAGGGATGTGCTTCCTTAAGATTATAAACTCTATCCACAAAGCCCCTGTCTGGAATTCTGGGTTGAATTGTATCCTCCCCAACCCCCACCGAAAAAAAAGACATGCTCTTCAACATATCTTCCTAACCCCCAGTATCTCAGAATGTGACCTTATTTGGAAATAGGATCATTGCAGATATAATTAGTTAAATAAAAATGAGGTCATACTGGAGTAGGGTAGGCCTCTGATCCAATATGACTGGTGGCCTTATTAGAAGATGGCCATGTGAAGACAGAAACACACAAGGAGAAGACCATGCAATGATGAAGACAGAGACTGGAGTTATGCAGCTGAAAACCAAGGAACAGCTTCTTATGTACTTAATTTGTGTCAGATTTCACTACGTGTCAAAGCTTGCTATAAAACCACCAGAAGCTAAGAAGAGAGGAAGGATTCCCCTACAGGTTTCAGAGGAAACACGGCTCTGCTTACACCTTGATTTCAGATGTACAGCTTTCTAGTTTGTGCTCCTTTATTATGGCAGCCCTAGGAAACTAAAGCAGCCCTCATGAGTTTTAATGGCCTCATGGCTTCTGACACCAAAATGCCCCCAAAACACCTTTGATCTGAATTTTGTCAAATTTTGAACACTTATAGGAGATGATATAACTAGAATATGATGAGATACTTATTAAATAAAGCCCAATGACTCCATGAATTCCAAGTAAAAGTTAAGTAAATCCCTTAAAATCAGAGCTAGAATAATTGTTCTGCCACTCATTAGCTCTGTGATCTTAAGCAAGTTATTTAACTTCTTGGGGCCTCTGTTTCCTCATCTGTAAAACAAAATATCTACCTCAAAGGGTTATCATAAAAACTGGACGAAGTAGTGATGCATGCAAAAGTACTTAGAACAGTGCTTGATACAGAGTGAGTACACAATCGATGCTCTTCTTCTTCTTTTTCATCTCCTACCCCTCCTCTTCCACAAGTGCAGCTGAACAAATTCAAAATGATAGTTCATCGAATAATTGCAACAATGTGCTAGACACTCATATAAAGATCCATTGTAATGTAGTCATTTTGCAATGGAAGTTTGGCCGTGTGACAAGAATGTGCCCCTGATATGTCTCCTTGCAGGTTACTATGAACTGAATTGTGTCCTCCCCTGGCAAACTCATACGTTGAAGCCCTAATCCTCAGTGTGATTGTATCTGAAGATAGGGTTCTTGGCAGATAACTAAGGCTACAGGAGTCATAAGGGTGGCACCCTAATTCTATAGGACTGTAGCCTCATAAAAAGACGGAGAGAGAGAGAGAGCTCTCTCTATGGCAAACACCGAGGAAAGGCCACATGAGCGTGCAGTGAGAAGGCAGCTGTCTGCAAGGCACAGAGTGCACTCACTAGAAGCCAACCACGCTGGCACCCTGATCTTCCTCTTCCCTCTTCAGAGCTGTGAAAAAATTAATATCTATTGTTTAAGCCACCCAGTCTATGGTGTTTTGTTATGGCAGCCAAACTGACTAATTCACAGATTCAACACTCAAAGGGTTAAATGTATATACCTCTTGGAACAGACAATGTGGGTCTCCCTGCTTGGCTGATCCTCCTTCCCTACTAGTCTTCCAAATTTGTAGTGCTATAGGGCCCTCTTCTTTACCCTTGGTCTTCTATCTCAATCCAGCCCAAGGCTTTAAATACCATGTGAAATGGTTTGAATGTATATGTCCCCTTCAAAATTCATATTGAGACTCAATCCCCAATGCAGCATTGTCAAGAGGCAAGGCCTTTAGGAGGTGATTAGGTCGTGAGGGAGCTGCCTGTATAAATGAATTAGAACCTTATAAAAGGGATGGAGGGAACTAGCTAAGCTCTTTTTGTTCTTCTCCTTTCTCCCATGTAAGGATGCTACAGTGAGAAGATGCCAGGTCCTCATCAGACACCAAACTTGCTGGTGCCTTGATCTTGGACTTCCCAGCCCTTAGAACTGAGAGAAATAAATGTCTATAATTTATAAATTACCCAGTCTGTAATATTGTGCAGCACAAAGTGACTAAGACATCGTATGTATACTGATGACATACAGATTTAGTCCTCATCTCTTCCTTCAACTGCAGGCCTATGTGTCCAACTTCCTTCTTGACTCCTCCACTTGGATGAATAATAAATAGCCACCTCAAATATTTTAAAGTCCAAAACAAACCCTTCATTGAACTGTTTGTTCCCTCTTTTCAACCATGCCTTGTCCATGTGGACACCCCCACCCCAAAAGTCATCCTTGATTTCTTTTTCTTTACCCCCTCTGCCCACATCCAACCCATCAGTAAGTGTTGTCAGTTCTACTTCCAAATTATGTTTTTAATGTTATTCCCATTTCTCAGTTCCACTATCACCACCACGACTATTTCTTGCCATAGTCTCATTTCTTGCCATAGTCTCCTAAATGGTCTCCCAGTCTCTAGTCTTGCTGTCTTATAAATTCCTCTCCACTCAGTAGCCAGAGTTATCTTTCATAAAATATAATTTTAATTTTACAAAAAAAATACATGTGCAGAGTTTAAGCAGGCAGAGTTCAACAAATGATACCACCAAAAGGAAACAAACAAACAAGACATACCAATACCTTCCAGATAAATAATTTTTAATGGCTTCAGCTCAGAGTTATCTTTTCATTTGTTTGTTTTTGGTTAGGTTTTTTGAGGTACAATTTGCATAGAGTAAAATGCAGCAATTCACATATTTAGGTATACATTCCAGTGACTTTTGACAAATAAATTCAGTCATGTAACCACTATGATAAAAATATAGAATATTTCCTTTACCCATAAGATATAGATGGATATAGATATAGATATAAAAGATACAAGGTCTCCTTCTGTTGCCCTTGAACTCCTGGGATCAAACCTCCTGCCTCACCCTCCCAACTAGCAGGGATTACAGGTTTGAGCCACTGTACCCGTCACCATAAGTTATATTTTAATACATTAACTGAATCATGTCAACTCTTTAGGCAAAAAGCCTTCAGTGACTTTCTTCTAACTTAGAATAAAATTCAAACTCTTTGTCAGGGTCCTTGAAGCCCTACAAAACTCACTTCCATTTACTTCTCTGAACTCCCCTAATAACAAGTCCCCTCACTCAGCAGGGCCCTGCTAAGGAGTTTCAATCTGCTTCATGGACGTTCAACCTGCCTCTCCCCTTGTCTGGAATGATCTTCCTCTGATGTTCCATCCACCTTACTTTTTCTGATCTCTTTATTCAGTGTAGCTTTCAATTCACCTCAAGTAAGTTATTAATTATTTTATCCTGTTTATTTCTTATCACAATTTGGGATAATTTTGTTAATGTATCTTTTTGCTTGTTTATGTCTTAGACCACCAGAATGTAGCAAGATAAAGGCAGGACCTTGGTCCATTTATGCAACACTATATTCCCAGCTCCCATGATATTATCTATTCTACCACACAGAGGGTTCTTCATATTAGGTTGAACTATTTGGAATTACCCACATATGACCATTTTTAACCTACAAGAATGGCGATTTCATATGGTTCATTTGGTTTATAAATACTTGCTGAATAAATGAATGAACTGAAATTTTGAGTTGATGCCACCAGGAAGAGAATAGACAGTTATATTTGTGCACAGTTAGAAAGAGTTCGCTGTCCTGAGTTCACTTGATCACTTTTTATCCTAAATTGCCACCCGCTACCGTCGTCGTCTTCCACATAATAATTTTCTATTAGGAAAATTATTCATTAAAACAGATAACATGGGTCACTTAAGTGTAAAACTTAAAGGTAACACTTTTTTAAGGAAATCTACCAGAAGAAAATCTTTTTCTAATTTTTAAAGTTTAATGAAACATAATTTACATACAATGTAAATGGCTAATAATTTACGTACGATAGCTAATTTTTAACTCTTCATGTTTTTTTGTTGGCAGGCAACGTGTTGGACCTTCCGGAGCTTCTCAGAAGACAGAGGGTTTTCTTTTGAGGTAAATTTGATAGTACATTTTGATAGTACAGGAGGCGATACGGCATGGTGACAGAAAAGCGCCGGCTTGGTTAGCGGGACCACCTGGCAGGGCTGCAGGCTGTGCCACTTACCAGGCAGGGGACCTTGGGCCAGCTGCTTGGCCTCACTCACCCTGTTTCCTCAGCTGCAATTGGGATGAACAGACTGCCTGCTTCGGGGTTGCCTAAAACTCACATTGCTTAATGATGTGAAATGCTTAGCGCAGTGCCTGGCATAGAGAGAATTCTCATTAGATGATACCTCAGCTGGGCTTTAGGAGCTACAGAAGAAGCTGCATCTCCATGAGCTCAGCGTGTTTCTAGCTTTCCTTTTTGTTTTCTATTCAACCTTTCACCCAACTCAGCTTCTCAATCCCTAAATGACAAAGGTTTGGGAAGGAAGACTTGGACCGATGCTTGCATTTGTTTCTGAGAATTAAACGTTATGTTTTCTTCAATCCAAATAGGTTTGCTTGTACAGCCTTGTTCAATGGTTTTTTTTTTTTTTTTCTCCATGATAAATGACTCTCAACTTCTTTTCCCTCATTTAATTGCTTATCTACATACAATGCCTGGAAGGAAATAAATGTAATGGCCCGTAGCAGTTGGCCTTCAGATATCAAGTTTAAGTCCCTTTAAGCAGAACAGCAAATTGAGCACAGAATGAACTGGTTTCATGGTAGCGTACTGCAATTAGATGCAAGAATAGGGAAAGCAGGGTGCTTCAATTGGTGACACAATTAGTATAGCACTGGGGGACTTCTCTTTCCACTTCTTCAACTCCGCCTGCATTCCGCTGGCTGAAGAGTTGATGACATCCCTGAAAAATCTTCCCTCTCTTGTTTCTCTGATGCCACCTCTGTGTTCTCCGCCTCACTGGCCACACTTCCTTTACCTCCCAAACTTTTAACTCTGAGTGTCCCAAACTTGTCTCATCACCTACCCCTGCTGCCCAGCTCCCCAGCCTGTTCCCCTTCTGACACGGGCACTCTCCTTCTGCTGTCTTGGGAGAGAAACAATGAAGGCCTAGTTGGCACTTTTATTTCTATTCAAGGAACCAGACTGTGAACAAGTTTACCATTTAGTCCTTTGGACTGTGTCTTGAATTCATCCCTCTTCTCCATTCTCACCAGCACCATCATCATGATGGCTAATATTTCCTGAGCACCTTTCATCCAGGCATGATGCCAGGTGCACCAACTTACTTAATCCTCATAGCCACCACCTGAGCAAGCTCCTGTTTTATAAATGGACCAGTTCTTGTTGCTATTGTACAAGTTATTTTCTTTCTATAACGTCCTCCTTGTCCTCCTTCCACATTCTTAAAGAAACTTGCCCTTCCTTTAAAGTACTCAGGGAGCCCTGCATTGCTTCTTGAAGCCTTCTCCAGCTTCATCATCTCACAGTGGTCTCTCTTTTCACTAAATGTCCAATATGCTGCACATAAGTACCCCAAAGTTAGCACAGAATTGTTCCATGGCTGTCATATATGTTAAAAATCATTAAAAGTTCATTTTTTCTCTCATTATGGGAAGGATACATGCTCCTACTAGTAAATTTAGTAGGTAGAAAAAAATTATCACTATCTAGACTGCTTTCCATTTAGTCTTTATGCATAGCTTTCTGTCTGCCTATTTTTACCTTGTGTTTGTAACTTACTATTATAAAATATGCGTCTCTGTGCATTGTCAACATTATTTACAATAACATGGAGTGGATTGACACGTATTCTCTATATTTGGATTAAAGGAGATAGAGTATGTGAAATTAAATGGGAGAAGTATCTGATACATAACAGGCAATACAAATATTATCACATAGCGTCAACTTATTTGTGAATATTGAAAGCTCCAAAAAAGAAAAAAGGTTTTTTTTAATTCCCGTAATCACTTATTGCAGTATTGTGTACATACAAAGTGCTCAATCATTTTGGAGGAATAACAATTTTTTTTCCTCATCATGAAGTAAGGTATGCTCACTGCAAAAAATCTAGAAAATAAAGAGGAACATACTAAAGAAAAGAATACTCCCATATAATCTCTGTCTTCATAAATAATCTTTTGTAACACTTATACACTGCTGGTGGGAATGTAAATTAGTTCAGCCATTGTGAAAAGTAGTGTAGCAATTCCTTGAAAAACTTAAAATAGAATTACCGTTCAACCCAGCAATCCCATTATTGGGCATATACCCAGTGGAATGTAAATCATCCTGCCATAAAAACACATGCACATGTATGTTCATTGCAGCACTATTCACAATAGCAAAGACATGGAATCAACCTATATGCCCATCAGTAGTAGACTGAATAAAGAAAATATGGTACATATTCACCACAGAATACTAAGCAGCCATAAAAAAGAAAAAGATCATGTCCTTTGCAGCAATATGGATGGAGCTAGAGGCCATTATCCTAAGCAAACTAATGAAGAAACAGAAAACCAGATACTGCATGCTCTCACTTATAAGTGGGAGATACACCATGAGAACACATGAACACAAAAAGCGGAAAAAGAGACACCATGGCCTACTTGAGGGTGGAGGCTGGGAGGAGGGAGAGAATCAAAAAACTTCCTATGGAGTACTATGCTTATTACCTGCGTGATGAAATAATCACTTTGAACGTGGTCAGTACATTATCTTCTAATCTAGACTCTTTTCTATGTTCTATATACACACAGAAATACACATGCAAAGCTGAACACATGTGTGAAACAAAATTCAGACACTCAAATTTTCCGCCAACACGTGATAAAATCTTGCACAATAGCTTCCTCCACAGAGGAAAATGTCTTTACTACATCTTAAAAATGGGGTAAATGAATAGTTAGGCTCTTCAGTGTAATAATCATGATAAATATTCTCAATATGCGAAAATACAAACAAAGGACTTTCTCTCCCAGCAAATTTAGACCCACATGAAAATTTAAGCACAATCATTTTAAACGAATTTATCCTGGAGCTTAGTGGTTTGAGTTCAAGGTTGAGGAGCAGTCTGGGGACATCAGCTCTTAATATTTTTCAAGTTTTGGAGCAAGTGGTTTCTAGGTTCTGAGTGAAGTGAAACAGAATCTCTAGGGGCATGTGGTAAAGATAATCCCATACTATGTACTGCGTAGAGTTAAAGAGAAGAGGCGAGAGCATGAAGATAAACCAGTACAATCAGTCGTTCACATACCACTAACTACAATGATACTCCCATTTGCTTCCTGTGAAGTAGTTACTAATAATCACTGATGTCGCTTTTTAATTTCATACATCCTTTAACTGTCTTCATATAGGTATTGAAAGAGTCAACATAAAAGCCACATCCATTTTCTAATTTTGAACAATAGTTAGAGAAACCTAATATCTTCTCATATTTTTGTCTTGCTTCTGTCTCATGAGTTCCCAAAATAGATATATTATCTGAATGAAGAGTTCATGGGCAAATGTCACACTTTTCTTGGTTTGGCTAATTATATTTCTGCTTTTGCTTAGAATAAGATTAATTTTCCTATTCTGCTAATAAACCACGTGATGGCAAAATGCCTTATTCTGAGAAAAGAAGCCTTTGGTATTTTAAAGAATTGGGAAGCTATTTCAGATAAGCTATCATATGCATGAAGATTAATTTATTCATATGAAATGTTCAATAACCAGAAAAGACTGTTTTAAATAAAACCATTTCACAATTAAGTTTTTTTTTGGTTATGGACAGTGATTTCTTCTAAGAAACAAAGCGCCTGTCTATATGAAGAATAACTAAAATAATGGTTAGCAAATATTGATTGGATCCAGCCAAGTGAGCAGCATTTTTGAGTTTACAGATGTGGTAACTTTGAACTATATTTACGTGCTTATAATGAAACCTTACAGTTGGAGTAATAGCTTTGTTCCTGAGTCTCATGAATATTTTCCAGCTCCTTTGTCCTAAATTTCTGCCTGACAATCATCCATTTCAAGGAATAAAAGGATATAATAAGTGATAAACCTATGCTGGAAATTTTTAATCTAAAAAGTTCACATACTGTTTCTAATAAACTGAAAACTATTAGAGAAAGATGGAGGTATTAAAACCTGTTAATAAGGAAATCAATGGCAACATATTTTAAATGGTTTTGAATTTTATAAAGATTTTCTTTTATAGCACTATGTCCTTTTTCTTTTCTTCTCCTTGTTTGATTTCCAACAGCTGAGCTATTTACTTGTTGAGTTATTTCATATCTATTATTCCATTTAGACCTTGAACCCTGTGAGGGCAGGGACTAACTTTATTCCTAGTGCCTGTCACATGATTTGAACTAAATAAGTATATTTTTCCAGCCTGCACTACTACGTACAATAAGGAGTTTCTTATATTTACTTGAAAATGTTTTCAACCTTCTAGGGATGACCTCTACTATTATTATTCCATTATTGACCTTTCTATGCTTATTATTGACCTTTCATCTTATTATTCTGATTTAGTAAGCAGATTTTATGTCTCCTTGTCCATACCATTCAAGGCTATCTAGATTTCAATTGTATCTTCAGATTTTTACCTTCCACATTGATGAGTCCCAATGTGAACCCTCCAAAGCAGGTTCCTACTGCACTCATCAGTTTCTTTGGTTGAGGGATAGTGACCACTATGTCCTTCTCAGAATGTTGGAGACATGATGAAATAAAGACGGTGATATTAGCCCCCTAACTGTAATCACTCATGCTGCTCCCACCCATGTCTACCCACTGGAACAGGGAGTGGTGGCATTGGGGTGGTACAGGGCTTGCCGAGGATGTTGGCTTATAGCTGTATCTCCAAACATCCAGAGCATGTCTTCTTTTTCACCTCTCCTTTAGAATCTGCTTCCTCGAACCATCCCTTTAAGTGCAGGAAGAAAGCTATTTTTAATGTGAAAATTACTGTTCCAGTTATCTCATGGTGGAAATTCTTAATGGGCTCTTACTTTGGGCATCTGTCTGGCTCTCAGTGCCAGTAACTTTCTTTTCTTCTTATCTTTGTTTTGTTTTGTTTTGTTTTAAAGATGGGGTCTCCGTCACCCAGGCTGGAGTGCAGTGATATGATCATAGCTCACTGCAGCCTTGAACTCCTGGGCTCAAGCAATCCTCCCACCCCAGCCTCCCAAGTAACTGAGACTACAGGCACCCACCACCGTGGTTGGCTATCAGTGCTAATAACTTTCTGAAGCTCCATGCCTTTAACTCCAGCGTTCTTTACTTAGTGTTTTGAAATATCTGCTGCCCACAAATCCTAGCACATTTCTGAAGTTACCAAGACTTTAAGACCTCCCATACTGCTTTTTCTCCCATCTTCCCTTCTCAGTGTTATTAGCCTCATAGTTTCAAGGGCCCAGCCCAGTATCCACCACACACCATATCCCATACGTACAAATACAGCATAGATAGTATTGAACATTTCATTTTTCACTTTAGCTTGGTGAAAATTAATATGTATTTAGGTATTTTATAGTTATGACTCTTAGTTTTGGGTTGTCTATCTGCTCCATCCTTATTTCTACCTTTAAATGCAGAGCTATTTCCACCAGCTTGAGATAAAAGAAGACAATAGATCCTAAGTCTTCCACTTGGTTCCCTATGGGTTTTGTTTGTTTGTTTGTTTGTTTGTTTTTGGTAGAGATGAGGTCTTACTCTGTTGCCCAGGCTGGAGTGCAGTGGTGCAATCATAGCTCACTGCAGCCTCAAACTCCTGGGTTCAAGCAATCCTCCTGCCTCAGGCTCTGGAGTCACTGGGATTACAGGCGTGAGCGACTGTACCTGGCTTCGATTTCCTGATTAAATTATTCTCTCTGCAGCTAGTTTCTTTATTCCAGCCTGAGTCATTTTCTTGCCCTGGGTGACATTTTTCCGTCTTGGACATCTGTCGTATTGAAAGCAAGTCACTTCATTTATGTCTGTCCTCGACTTCTGTTTGATACACTTCCCATGTCTCCAAGTCACAGTATTTCTGAAACAATTCATATTGCTTTTCATTACTAAACTTTTTTTCCAAAGTACTCCTCTGCAGCCTTCATTCCTGATATCTTTAAATTTATCTAGAAGGTCTTATATGCTAGATCTACATCTCCTTTAGACACTTATCATTAACCCAATTTAGGGTAACAGAAATTTTTTTTTACATTGAGCACTCTCACAGGTACCTACAACTGCTCACAGTGGTCCTAGAAAGGACATAAAGTAAATTGAAATGGACATCGTTTGGCAGGTGATTTTTGTATCCTTCCTGACGATGCTGGTTCAACTTTAACATACAGGTCTAATGTTTTTTTAATCCCTAACCCAATTAATAATAGAAAAGTAATACATATTCATTCTAGAGTATTTGGAAAATATAGCTAATCCCAACAACCAATCAGAGATAACTACTTATCTTTTTCCTTTCAGTCTCTTTTTATATACACATACACTTAAACCTATCTCCTTATCAAATTGTGATGAGTTATACACATAGGGAATTGAAATAACCAAATATTTCTATAATTCTTATAAGTAAAAATAGTAATAAAAATGACATTCAATTTTTACTTGTTGATTCCGGTGTGCGTTTTCCTCTTTTAAAATAGTTGTTTAGTTTTCCAAATTGGCCAGCAAAAACTTACTTAATTTATAAAGTTACTGAAATACTCTCTCTTTAAAAATGAAAAAATATGATATAATAATTTTAATGATAAAATGAAAAAGGTAATAAAATAGAAAAAATATTTATCTTGAATGTTGGAAATTGAGACAAAGCATATTCAATGTTCAATTGAATGACTATCAAGTGGTATCTGGAAAATTTTATAGAAACCTAGTATTTTTATAGATGTTTTTGAAAAGAAATACTGGTTATTGGGTTTACTTCACTCAAGAAATCCTTTTGCTTAATAGGGGTATATCATTAATACTAGTTAAGTGTTGGTTATTGTATTGTATAAGTGTTGGTTATTGTATCTTCACAGTGCTATAAAGAACTACTTGAGAATGGGTAATTTATAAAGAAAAAGAGGTTTAATTGACTCACAGTTCTGCAGGGCTGGGGAAACTTACAATCATGGCAGAAGGTGAAGGAGAAGCAAGACACATCTTACATGGTGGCAAGAGAGAGTAAAAGAGCAAGGGGGGAATTGCCACACCTTAAAACTATCAGATCTTTTGAGAACTTACTCACTATCATGAGAACAGCAAGAGAGAAATCCACCGCCATGATCCAGTCACCTCCCCCCATGCCTTTCCTCTAACATGTGGGGATTACAATTTGAAATGAGATTTGGGTGGGGACACAGAGCCAAACCATATCAGTTGTGTAGATTGAATATTGAAATATTGAAATCTTGAGTCATATAATGAATACTGAAATATATGTAATTCTCAAATTATGAACACTTAGCTGGCAAAGGTTCTTATATGTGAATGGCTCATTAAGCTTTGGATTTCCTTTCCACTGTGTTGCTGCCCTGGATGACAACACTGCTGTCCATACAGACAGCACCACCTATTGGCCAGCACCCAGGGCCCACTCTGAGTGATTTCCTTACCACCTTTCCTTTTTCTCAAGGTCCTCATGGCCCTGCAGTGCTTGAGTACTTGTCTTTGACTGCTGGGAATCAGTTTGTTTGGCTGAAGACTGTCACACTTATCCACACATTCTTTAAAATCCCTTTCTTCTTCTTACACTTCTCTTCCAAAGCTTGCCTGGTTACCTTAGTTGAATCTCACTCTCTCTCTCTCTCTCTCTCTTCTGTCCTTCCGTCCCTCTTCCCTTCCTTTTTCTTCCTTCCTCCCTCCCTTCCTCCCTTCCTTCCTTCCTTCCATCCTTCCTTTCTTTGAGACAGGGTCTTGCTCTGTTGCCCAGGCTGAAGTGCAGTGGCACAATCTCAGCTCACTGCAGCCTTTACTTCCTAGGCTCAAGCAATCCTCCCACCCCAGCCTCCCAAGTAGCTGGGACTACAGACGCGAGCTGCCACACCTGGCTAATTTTTGTATTTGTTGTAGAGACGGGGTTTCACCATCTTGTCCAGGCTGGTCTTGAACTCCTAGGCTCAAGTGATCTGCCCACCTCAGCCTCCCAAAGTGTTGGATTACAGGCATGAGCCACTGTGCTCAGCCTCTTTTACTTTTTTTTTCTTTTCTTTATTACCAAGCTTCTGCTTTGCTTCTTCCATTCTTCTTTCCTGTTTTCTAAGGGATTACTGAAGTGTTTTATTTTTTTCTCTTTTTCTTTTTTCTCCTCATACTGGTTTGGAAATTATATATTTTCTTTGCATTCTTTCAGTAGTTGCCATTGAAATATTTTTAGTTGAATATTTCATTATATTCCCATTCCATCTTTGTTTTTATATTTAGATTTTATTTCACCAAAAATTTTAAAAACTCATAGTTGAAAATATCAGATACTTCCTCATGAGCCTTATATCCCTCCTTCCTTCCCCTGAAACAATCATTTACATTTCTTTTACTGGTCATGTTGGTATCTACTTCCATGTCTCTAAAAAACATTCATTTCTCAATTTCTTATATTTCTCAATTTTCCAGTTTTTGGTATTATCTACTGACTTCCCACTCTAGAAAATGACTGCTCCCACCATATATGTGCCTTCTTTCCTCTTCACGCCCTCACAATACAGTCATATTATGTTTGCGTTTGATATCAAGCAATATATTTACATTAATATAACTATGCACAAACTGTTCACAGCTGAGCCATGTAGGAAACTATGATAAATTTTTCTTTCCTGAGCAGCTTTTTGCTTGCCCTGGAGCTAATTATCTTGTTTTACCATTTGCTTAGTTTTCTATGTACTTATCACTAATTTAATCCCAAATTATTTGCCAGTTCTCTAAATCTTCTCTTAAGCTACTAAGATGCATTGCTTTCATCTTCCTGACAAAATATGCTTCATTCTTCTGATGGCCTATTGGTCTTTATGCCTGATGCGTAAGACATAAAGCTGTCATCTTGGGACTTTCCCTCAGCATCATTCTGGCCTCACTGTCTTACTCTCCTACATGTGTCTCCCAACCTGGGTGTATGTCCTGGGTGTGTTGCCCTGATCTTCCACTTTATTGGTTTAATTTCTTGTTTTGGTGAAGATGGTAAGTTCTGGACAGCTTAGTTAGGGAACCCTGATGTTACTGCATTTAGGTTTTCCTCCTGGACTGATCAGGTAAGATTCTTCCAATCTCCTGTCAGAAGAGTCAAAGTCTGCTACTACTATTTTGGATCTGGGTCAAGCGAGATAGTGGAGTAGAGAGAGGTGGGCATTCAGTATGCATGCATTTTCTTAAGCTGGCTTTGTTCAGTACAGTGCTCCCAACTTCAACTCTGCTTGGGATCCCCAAGCAGGAAACCTGTTCTCTCTCTCCTGTGAATATGCTTCCTGGGAAAGAGAAGGGAAATAGAAGCGGTAGTGTACCTTTTCATGATTGGAAAGGATCTAGTGATCTGACTGCTTCTTAAATAAACTTTCAGCGCATCATTCTCATTTTAGTCTCTCCTCTTCACCACACTTCCAGAAGAATCTGATGCTGCCAATTCCTGACACTTGAAGGCTCTTGAGTGTAAAACAAGTTGCTTCTTGGCTTTCCTGCTGCTGGTTTAGTACTTTAATTTGGGAGTTCTGCTAAGTCTTTTCTCACTCATCCAATTTTCCAAAATTGTGTTATTATTGTTTATTTTCCCATGGCCCAGGACTTAAAAAAATTCACTGACAAATTAACTGGATTTGGGGAGGACCAAATTTGATGCATGTGTTTAATTTACTCCCTACATCTGGGAGCTCCATTAAATTTTTACAAGTATAACTTGACATAATAAAATCTAAATTTAATTAATGTATTTACCCTTCACCTCAGAAATACAAGGGCTTTAGAAACTTTCAATACTAATTACCCCATATTCCTTATTAATGTTTATTGTTTAAATTCTGCCTTTTAAATACCCTCCATCTCCAAATTAGCCATTGTTCCCCATTATTGTTGTGTATAAGAGTGCTTATTCAGATATAGCCAGATGTTTATACATTTCTTGGTCCACCATTTCTTCTTGCATGTGACTCCTTCTTTCTGGGTTCAGTGTCCTTACCATTGAAGTACATCTTTACTGAAGATGCTGTTGGTGTCCTGTCCAGAATCTCTTCAATGAGCTGGCGTACTCATCCCTTAGCTGCTGAGAGTGTTGGCTGCTAATAGTTCACACTCTTTCCCTGAGGATTCCATTCAAGCCAACAATTTCAGAAAATGCCTGGAAGGTAACAGCCTTCCCCCGTGGGTAGCTCACAGCCAATGACTGATTGATACGGGTGTACAGAACTGAGGCTCCAGAACTCCCTGTGGGATCAGACTGAGGCTAGACTTCAGCTAAACCCATATCTTTCCCAGCTTCTTTTCCTGTCCTATTCTGCTTCCTTCCTCGCTGTTCAGATTTCTTCTGAGAGCACTCCCTCAGGCAATCACTTGGACAGGAATCTAATTCTCAGGGTCAGCTGCAAGAGCCCAATCTAAGACAGTTGATAGCAGTAGTAGTTATATACACCTGAGTCTAAGGATGGGATTCTGGAGTTTGCTCACTCACCAGTGGTCCCATCAGAATCTCTTCCCTGAAGATAGTCTCAGATGTGCTCCTGCAGTGAAATTGCTAACACTTTTACTTGTAGTGAACCAGGACAGCATATAAGTAGAAGCGAATGCATTAACTTCTGTGATGTATCTAGTATTTGAGAGTACAGGTGGAAAAGTAACTTGAAAGATTGTTGAATTGGGAGGGTATTGGTAAGCACCATTGATGCACTAAGTATAGATGCCAGGATCAAATCTATTAACCACCAATTTAAACCCAAGTGTGAGAGTCAAAGGGCCTCCATGGAAGCCTTTAAAAAGTCCCTCATCACTGGCAGCCAGAAGGCCAACTGAACTGAAGCCCAGGTGCAGCCTGTACTTATGAGTGGCAGAACGCCAGAGAAGGTTAATTCTCAGCCTGTGTAAGTCTCCTTCAAGAGAATCAGGGTCCTGATTGGAAAAAAGTGGGAACATGAGAATTGGAATGGGGAAACTTATTAGACACACTTAAGGACCTTGGCCTCCCAGCTTCTCCGGAATATCTGGGCCTACAGAGGTGGCCCACTCCCTTGCTGGAAGATGGAAGACCTTCTCCTTGCTTGAAAACTATAAGCTTCGAGTAAGTCAAGTGTCTTACAAAACAATGTTGGTCCTGCTCAGAATCTACCCCCACTTCTCTCCCCGATACCAGACAGTATGAGGACTAAGTTTCAGTATAATCCAACTGGGTAAGTACAGTGTCTGTTAAGGGAGGGGAGGATCATATGGCAAAGGCACTGCAGGATCTGGCTGACTTAAGCCAGCAGGACCCCAGAGAAAATGCCTGGAAGTGGATCCCAAAGATGCTGGATCAAGAATGGGGAATAGGAAGTCAGGAAAGGGACACTTTGTTGTTATAGTAATACTGTGCAGTGACATAGGATTTGACACCCTGGCAATGACCCTGGAATGACTGTTAGAAGCTTGGCTTTCCTAGTATTTCTGTGACATTAATCACATTTTAATCACAACTTCCATATCTGTAAAATGGAGGACTGGGACAATATTGATTATTTTTAAAAAACTGTTATTTTAGGTTTGGGGGTACATGTGAAGGTTTGTTACATAGGTAAACTCATGTCATGGGGGTTTGTTGTACAGATTACTTCATCACCCAGGTATTAAGCCCAGTACCCAATAGCTATCTTTTCTTCTCCTCTCCCTCCTCCCACCCTCCACCCTCAAGTAGACCCCAGTGTCTGTTGTCTCCTTCTTCACATTTGTAAGTTCTCATCATTTAGCTTCCACTTATAAGTGAGAACATGTGGTATTTGGTTTTCTGTTTCTGTGTTAGTTTGCTAACGATAATAGCCTCCAGCACCATCCGTGTTCCCACGAAATACATGAACTCATTCTTTTTTGTGGCTGCACGGTATTCCATGGTATAAATGTACCCAATTTTCTTTATCCAATTTGTTGTTGATGGGCATTTAGGTTGATTCTATGTCTTTGCTACTGTGAATAGTGCTGTTGAATATCAAGCAGCTATGGAATGCCTCCAGAAAGCACATAGGAGTTTGTTATCTGAAATTCAGACACTGCATGCACAAATGAATGGTAGGAAAATGACTCCGAAAAGTGAACAAAAGAATGAGAAACCAAGCCAAGATGAACATTTGCATGCACGTGTCTTTATGGTAGAATGATTTATATTCTTCAGGGTATATACCCAGTAATGGGATTGCTGGGTCAAATGGTAGTTCTGCTTTTAGCTCTTTGAGGAATCACCACACTGCTTTCCACAATGGTTGAACTAATTTGCACTCCTACCAACAGCATATAAATGTTCTCATTTCTCTGTAACCTCACCACCAGCATCTGGTTTTCTTTTTTTTTTTTTTTTTTTTTGACTGTTTAGTAATAGCCATTCTGACTGGTGTGAGACGGTATCTTCATAGTGGTTTTGATTTGCATTTCTCTAATGATCAGTAATATTGAGCTTTTGTTCATGTGCTTCTTGGCCACATGTATGCCTTCTTTTGAAAAGTGTCTGTTTATGTTCTTTGCCCACTTTCTAAGGGGTCCTTTGCCCACTTTCTATGGGGTTGTTTTTCTCTTGTAATATTGTTTAAGTTTCTTATAGATGCTGGATATTAGACCTTTGTCAGATGCACAGTTTGAAAATTGTCTCCCATTCTGTAGGTTGTCTCTTTACTCTGTTGATAATTTCTTTTGCTATGCAGAAGCTCTTAAGAGTAATTAGATCCCTCTTGTCAATTTTTGCTTTTCTTGCAATTGCTTTTGGTGTCTTTGTCATGAAATCTTTGTCTGTTTCTGTGTCCAAGATGGTATTGCCTAGGTTGTCTTCCAGAGTTTTTATAGTTTTGGGTTTTACATTTAAGTCTTTAGTCCATCTTGAGTTTATTTTTGTAAATGGTATAAAGAAGGGGTCCAGCTTCAATCTTTTGCATGTGGCTGCTTAGTCACCCCAGCACCATTTATTGAACAGGGAGTCTTTTCCCCATTGCTTGTTTTTGCCAGCTTTGTTGAAGATCAGATTATTGTAGGTGTGTGGCCTTATTTCTGGGCTCTCTATTCTGTTCTATTGGTCTATGTGCCTGGTTTTGTACCATTACCATGCTGTTTTGGTTACTGTAGCCCTGTAGTATAGTTTGAAGTCAGGTAACATGATGCCTCCAGCTTTGTTATTTTTGCTTAGGATTGCCTTGACTATTTGAGCTCTTTTTGGTTCTATATAAATTTTAAAATAGATTTTTCTAGTTCCATGAAAAAGGTTGTTGGCACTTTAGTAGGAATAGCATTGAATCTGTAAGTTCTTTGGGCAGTATGGCAATTTTAATAATACTGATTTTTCCTATCCATGAGCATGGAATGTTTTTCCATTTGTTTGTGTCTTCTCTGATATTTTTGAGCAGTGCTTTGTAATTCTCATTGTAGAGGTCTTTCACCTCCCTAGTTAGCTATATTCCTAGATATTTGATTCTTTCTGTCAATGGGATTGCCTTTCTGATTTAACTCTTGTCTTGGCTGTTGTTGGTGTATAGGAATACTAGTGTTTTTTGTACGTTGATTTTGTATGTTGAAACTTTGCTGAAGTTGTTTATCAGCTGAAGGAAATTTTGGGCCAAGACTATAAGGTTTTTTAGATATAGGCCAAGTGTTGTGGCTCATGCCTGTAATCCCAGCACTTTGGGAGGTTGAGGTGGGTGGAT
Source organism: Homo sapiens (assembly GCF_000001405.40). Taxonomy (NCBI): domain Eukaryota; kingdom Metazoa; phylum Chordata; class Mammalia; order Primates; family Hominidae; genus Homo; species Homo sapiens. Next base: position 87,274,674 of record NC_000010.11, on the reverse strand, counting down.
CACCTGAGGTCAGGAATTCAAGACTAGCCTGACCAACATGGAGAAACCCTGTCTCTATTGAAAAATGCAAAATTAGCCAGGTGTGGTGGTGTATATCACTAATCCCAGCTGCTCTGGGAGGCTGAGGCAGGAGAATCACTTGAACCCAGGAGGCGGAGGTTGTGGTGAGCCGAGATCATGCCACTGCACTCCAACATGGGCAACAAGAGTGAGACTCTGTCTCAAAAAAAAAAAAAAAAAAGAGGTTTTCTAGATATAGAATAATGTCATCTGCAAAGAGAGATAGTTTGACTTCCTTTCTTCCTATTTGGATGCCCTTTATTTCTATTTCTTGCCTGACTGTTCTGTCTAGGACTTCCAATACTATGTTGAATAGGAGTGGTGAGAGAAGGCATCCTTGTCTTGTGCCAGTTTTCAAGGGGAATGCTTCCAGCTTTTCCCATTCAGTATGATGTTGACTGTGGGTTTGTCAAACATGGCTCTTATTATTTTGAGGTATGTTCCTTCAATACCTAGTTTATTGAGAGTTTTTAACATGAAGGGGTGTTGAATTTTATCTAAAGCGTTTTCGGCATCTATTGAGATAATTATGTGGTTTCTGTCTTTAGTTCTGTTTATGTGATGAATCACATTTATTGATTTGCGTATGTTGAACCAACCTTGCATCCCAGGAATGAAGTCTATTTGATCATGGTGGATTAGCTTTTTGATGTGCTGCTGGATTCAGTTTGAAATTATTTTGCTGAGGATTTTTGCATTGATGTTCATCAAGGATATTGGCCTGATGTTTTCTTTTTTGTTGTGTCTCTGCCAAGTTTTTGTATCAGAATGATGGTGGCTTCGTAGAATGAGCTGGGGAGGAGTCCTTCCTCCCCAGTTTTTTGGAATAGTTTTTATAGAAATGGTACCAGCTCTTCTTTGTACATATAGTAAAATTCAGCTGTGAATCCATGAGGTCCTGAGCTTTATTTTGGTTGGTAGGCTATTTATTACTGACTTACTTTTGGAGATCATTATTGGTCTATTCAGGGGATCAGTTTCTTCCTGGTTCAGTCTTGGGAGGGTGTATGTGTCCAGGAATTTATCCATCTCTTCTAGGTTTTCTAGTTTGAGTGCATAGTGGTTTCTAGTGGTTATTTTTATTTCTGTGGGGTCAGTGGTAACATTCCCTTCGTCATTTCCAGTTGTGTTTATTTGGATCTTCTCTCTTTTCTTCTTTATTAGTCTAGCTAGTAGCCTATCTATCTTATTAATTTTTTAAAAGAACCAACTCCTGGATTTGTTGATCTTTTGAATGGTTTCTCGTGTCTCAGATTCCTTCATTTCAGCTCTGATTTTGGTTATTTCTTGTTTTCTGCTAGCTTTGTGGTTGATTTGTTCTTGCCTCTCTAATTCCTTCATCTGTTACGTTAAGTTGTTAATTTGAGATCTTTCTAACTTTTTGATGTGGGCATTTCATGCGATGAATTTCCCTTTTAACACTGCCTTAGCTATGTCCTAGAGATTCTGGTATGTTATATTTTTGTTCTCATTAGATTCAAAGAACTTCTTGATTTCTGCCTTAACTTCATTATTTACCCAAAAGCCATTCTGGAGCGTGTTTAGTTTTCATGTCATTGCCTGATTTTGAAGATTTTCTTGGTCTTTGACTTCTATTTTTATTGCGCTGCGGTCAGAGAGTGTGTTTCGTATTATTTCAGTTATTTTACATTTGCTGAGGATTGTTTTACGTCCAATTAAGTAGTTGCCTTTCGAGTAGATGCCATGTGGCGATGGGAAGAATGTATATTCTGCTGTTTTTGAGTAGAGAGCTCTGAAGAGGTCTATCAGATCCATTTGGTCCAATGTTGAGTTCAGGTCCTGAGTATCTTTGTTAATTTTCTGCCTCAATTATGTGTCTAATATTGTCAGTGGAGTGTTGAAGTCTCCCACTATTAATGTGTGGGAGTCTATGCCTGTTTGTAGGTCTCTAAGAACTTGCTTCATGAATCTGGGTGCCCCTGTGTTCGGTGCATATACATTTAGGATAGTTGGATCTTGTTGTTGAATCGTACCCTTTACCATTATGTAATGCCCTTCTTTGTCTTTTTTGATCTTTGTTGTTTTGAAGTTTGTTTTGTCTGAAATTAAGATTGCAACCTCAGCTTTTTTCTGTTTTCCATTTGCTTGGTAGATTTTCCTCCATGCCTTTATTTTGAGCCTTTTGGTGTCATTATGTGTGAGATGGGTCTCTTAAAGACAGCATACCATTGGGACTTGCTTTTTTATCCATCTTGTCATTCTGTGCCTTTTAAGTTGAGCATTTAGCCCATTTACATTCAAAGTTACCATTGTTAGGTGTGGATTTGATCCTGTCATTGTGTTGTTAGCTGATTATTATGTTGGTTTGTTTGTGTGGTTGCTTTACAGTGACACTATTCTGTGTGTTTAAGTGTGTTTTTGTATTAGCTCGTAGTGATCTTTTCTTTCTATATTTAGTGCTTCTTTTGAGATCTCTTGTAAGGCAGGTCTGGTAGTAAAGAATTCCTTCAACATTTGCTTATCTGAAAAGAATCTTATTTTTCCTTTGCTTGGGAAGCTTAGTTTGGCTGCATATAAAATTATTGGTTGAAGATTGTTTTCTGTAAGAATGTTGAATATAGGCCCCCAATCTCTTTTGGCTTATAGGGTTTCAGCTGAGAGGTCCACTGTTAGCCTGATGGGATTTCCTTTGCAGGTAACCTGCCTTTTCTTTCTGGCTGCCTTTAACATTCTTTCTTTCATTTTCACCTTGGAAAATCTGACAATTATGTGTCTTGGGGATGATCTTCCTGTGTAGAATCTTGCAGGAGTTGTCTGTATTTCCTGTATTTGACTGTTGTCCTCTCTAGCAAGGTTGTGGAAGTTTTCATGGACAATATATTGAAATATGTTTTCCAAACTGTTTGCTTTCTCCCCCTTCCTTTCAGGGATGCCAGTGATTTGTAGATTTGGCTTCTTTACATAATCCCCTACTTCTTGGAGGTTTTGTTCATTCCTTTTTATTCTTTTTTCTTTATTTTTGTCTGACTGTCTTATTTCAGAAAGCCAGCTTTCGAGTTCTGAGATTCTTTCCTCAGCTTGGTTTATTCTACTGTTAATACTTGTGATTGCATTGTGAAATTCTTGTACTGTGTTATTCAGCTATGTCGGACCCATTAGGTTCTTTATTATACTGGCTATTTTGTCTTTCAGCTCCTGTATCACTTTATTGTGATTTGTGGTTTCTTTGGATTGGGTTTTGCTGTCCTCCTGAATCTCAATGATCTTCATTCCTATACATATCCTAAATTCTATTTCTGTCATTTCAGCCAGCTCAGCCTGGATAAGCACTCTTGTTAGAGAATTTGTATGGTCATTTGGAGCACATATGACACTCTGGCCATTTTAATTTTTGGAGTTCTTGCGTTAGTTCTTTCTCATCTCCATGTGTGGGTGTTCCTTTAACTGCCATATAGATTGAGTACAGTCAATAGACTTCTGGCTGTTTTCACTAGGCTGAGGCCTTGTGCAGGGTCTTTTTTTGAAGCTGACTTCTTGTCTCTAGTTTCAGAGGTGAGTATGTTAGTGAGGTATTCTTGGTGTTGAAGCTTTGGGGTGTGATCCAGTAGGTGGCACTTAGGCTTATTGGTCAACTGGTAGACTCTTGCTCAGTTGTGTGGCTCCTCTATGTTTTCTCATAGTTACAGCTGTGTTCACTCTCGATGCTCTGAAAGTGTGGGTTCCTCGCCCCCTTGAGTGCCAGCTGTATGGCTGTAGATTGTGGTTTGACACTCCTGGCTGCCCACTGCAGCTCTGGGGCAATGTCAGTGTTTACGTTCCTTCCTCAACTTGGCGGCAACAGAGGAAAGGACCTTAGTAGTGGTTGTGGTCAGGGGTCTTTTGCTTGTATCCTGGGAGCTCCACACCAGAGAGATGTAGGTCAGCAATTCCTCAGTGCAATCACCCCAGGATGAAGGGTCTGTGCTGTGGGCTCAAGCCAGGGGTTCTCTCTGGTGATGAGTGGGGGTTGGGGGTGTGGGAACCATGGGAGACGGACTGGCCTCCTCTTCTTGGGTTGATTGCAGCTTGTTGGAGGTATAAATAAGGTACTTAGGGTCTTCTCTTCTTCATTAGTCTGAGGGTAGCAAGGGCAGTTCTACTGCAGAGACAGTGGCAGAGAGGCTTTCAGGAACAGTATTTATTAACCAATTGTTTCAACAAATATTTACTGACAATTCAACATGTACCAGACACTGTGTTAGGCAAGGGGTCTTCAATGGGCCACAAGTAGATGTGGTCCTTGACCATGTCATTGGAGCTTAATGGGAGAGACTGATAGTAAGCAAGTAAACAAGAACAAAAAAATAAGGTAATTCAGGTTGTGACAACCTCTCTGAAGGAAATATATAGGATGCTATAATAGTGACTAGAGCAAGGAACGGCCTAATTGAGCTAAGATAATCAGGTAGGGTGTCTGTAAGGAGTTGACATTAAGCTAACAACTAAAGAATAAGAAGCCAGCCATGTAAATAGCTTGGATAAGAGCTTTCCAGGCTGAAGGGAATGGAAATACACAGGCCTAGAGGTAAGAAGGAGATGGGTGTCTTCCGGAAACTGATAAAAAGTCAGAGTGGCTCAGCTATGCTGATATGTCCCCTGGTATTTTTTAAGATTTTTGGCCGGGTACAGTGGCTCATGCCTGTAATCCCAGCACTTTGGGAGGCCGAGGTGGGCGGATCACGAGGTCAGGAGTTCAAGACCAGCCTGACTAACATAATGAAACCCCATGTCTACTAAAAATACAAAAATTAGCTGGGTGTGGTGGCACGTGCCTGTAATCTCAGCTACTCAGAAGGCTGAGGCAGGAGAATCTCTTGAACTTGGGAGGCGGAGGTTACAGTGAGTTGCGATCGCACCACTGCACTCCAGCCTGGGTGACAGCAAGACTCCATCTCAAAAAAAAAAAATTAATTTTTGAGGGTATATTATAGGTGTATATATTTATGGGGTACATGTAATATTTTGATACAGGTATTCAATATGTAATAATCACATTACGGAGAATGGAGTATTCATCACCTCAAGCATTTATTCTTTGTGTCACAAAGAGTCCCATTATACTCTTAGTTATTTTAGAAAGTACAATTAAATTATTATTGACTATAGTCACCCTGTTGTGCTATCAAATACTCGGCTGTATTCATTCTTTCCAACTATTTTTTTTGTACCCATTAACCATCCTCACCTCCCTACCCACCCCACCCCTATTACACTACCCAGCCTCTGGTAGCCATCCTTCTACTCTCTATTTTCATGTTTTCAATTGTTTTGATTTCTAGATCCAAAAATAAGTGAGAACATGTGATGTTTGTCTTTCTGTGCCTGGCTTATTTCATTTAACATAATGACCTCCGGTTCCATCCATGTTATTGCAAATGACAAGATCTCATTCTTTTTTATGGCTGAATAGTAATCCATTGCAGATAAGTGCCACATTTTCTTTATCCATTCATCTGTGAATGGACACTTAGGTTGCTTCCAAATTTTGGCTGTTGTGAATAGTGCTGCAACAAACATGGGAGTGCAAATATATTTTCTATATACTGATTTCCTTTCTTTTGAGTATATACCCAGTAGATTGTTAGGTCATATGGTAACTCTATTTTTACTTTTATGAGAAACCTCCAAACTCTTCTCCATAGTGGTTGTACTAATTTACATTCTCATCAACAACATATGAGGGTTTCCTTTTCTCTACCTCCTCTCCAGCATTTGTTACTGCCCTGGTGTTATTTTGCTTCTTAAGTATTAGAACTATACTTAGTGTTATATGTTCTGTGATTAGAAGTAAAACTGCCTTTGCTATATAGTATGCATAGAATATTTTAAAGTTATTACTAGAAGCTGACACATTGTTGTTTTCTATTACAAACAATAAAATTAGTTTCCATTTATTGAGGGCCTGTTTCATGTTAACTGCTTTACAGATATTCCTTATCTCATTTAATTCTCCCAACAATCCTACAAGAAAGCTAATATCCCATTTTATAGATGAGGAAATTGAGGCTTACAGAGGGCAAGTAACTTGCCCAAAGTCACTCAGTACCAGCAAATGGACTTTTTCCCCTCTCCCTGCCCCCAAATACCAGCCCCCCACTGCAAAAAAACACAAACAAAAACAAAACAAAACTACTTCTGTAGAGCTAGTTGTCTATTTCCAAATGCAAGGCTTAAATTTTAAGCCTTGGAGTTTTCAATTTAAAGCCTTTGCCATGAAATACAGCATATTACTTTATAATAGAAAACAAATAGAAAGAGCCTTTCATGATAGATACAGTGAACACTAAATTCTTTCTTTTAGGCTGCATCTAACAATTCTCTCCTTAACCCAATAGATATTATTTCCACAAATTAGCCCAGTTTTGATTTGGATGGCAAGACTCAAAGACAACAACAACAATAAAATCACAACTTGATTTAAAAGTTAAATTCAATAAACTGTAGAAGCAGCATATTAGTCTGTTCTTACACTGCTAATGAAGACATACCCGATACTAGGTAATGTATAAAGGAAAGAGGTTTAATTGACTCACAGTTGCACATGGCTGGGGAGGCCTCACAATCATGGTGGAAGGCTAAAGGCACGTCTTACATGGTGGCAGGCAAGAGGTCCTGTGTAGGGGAACTCCCCTTTATAAAACCATCAGAACTTGTAAGACTTATTCACTATCATAAGAACAGCATGGAAAGAAGACACCCTCATGATTCAATTACCTCCACCTGGTCCCACAATTGATCCCACGTGGGGATTATTATAATTCAAGGTGAGACTTGGGTGGGCATACAGAGCCAAACCATATCATCTGAAGGGGGCCAGCCCCTCCACAGCTGTGGGTATTTCTCGTCAGGTGGGATGGGGAGACTGAGAAAATAAATAAAACACAGAGACAAAGTATAGCAAAAGAACAGTGGGCCAAGGAGACCAGCGCTCCACATACAGAGGACCTGCATCGGCACCGGTCTCTGAGTTCCTTTAGTATTTATTGATTACTATTTTCATTATCACAGCAAGGAGAATGTGGCAGGAGAACGGGGTGATAGTGGGGAGAAGGTCAGCAGGAAAACCTGTGAGCAAAGGAAACTGTGTCACAAATAAGTTCAAGGGAAGGTACTATGCCTGGATGTGCATGTAGGCCAGATTTATGCTTCTCTCCACCCAAACATCTCGGTGTAGTAAAGAGTAACAGAGCAGCATTGCCGCCAGCATATTTCATCTCCAGCCACAGGGCAGTTTTCTCCTATCTCAGAATAGAATGAATGTATGATTGGGTTTTACACTGAGACATTCCATTCCCAGGGGCATGCAGGAGACAGAGGCCTTCCTCTTATCTCAACCACAAGAGGCCTTCTTCTTTTACTAATCTTCCTCAGCACAGACCCTTTATGGGTGTCAGGCTGGGGGACAGTCAGGTCTTTCCCTTCCCACGAGGCCGTATCTCAGGCTGCCTCAGTTGGGGGAAACCTTGGACAATACCCAGGCTTTCTTGGGCAGAGGCCCCTGAGGCTTTCCGCAGTGCATTGTGCCCCTGGTTAATCGAGAATGGAGAATGGCAATGACTTTTACCAGCATACTGCCTGTAAACATATTGTTAACAAGGCACATTCTGCACAGCCCTAGATCCCTTACACCTTGATTCCATACAACACATGTTTCTGTGAGCACAGGCTTGGGGCTAAAGTTACAGATTAACAGCATCTCAAGGCAAAACAATTGTTCAGGGTACAGATCAAAATGAGTTTCTTATGTCTTCCTTTTCTACATAGACACAGGAACAGTCTGATCTCTCTTTCTTTTCCCTACAATCATTCCACCCCTGGCCCCTCTCAAATCTCATGTCCTCACATTTCAAAAACACAATCATGCGCTTTCAACAATCCTCAAAAAACTGAACTCATTTCAGCATCAACCCAAAAGTCCAAGCCCAAAATTTCATCTGAAACAAGGCAAGTCCCTTCCACTTATGAGTCTGTAAAATCAAAAGCAAATTAGTTACATCCTAGATATAATGGGGGTATAGGCATTGCATAAATATACCCATTCCACATGGGAGAAATTGGCCAAAACAAAGAGGTTACAGGGCCTATGCAAGTCCAAAATCCAGCGGGGCAGCCAAATCTTAACACTCTGAAATGATCTTCTTTGACTCCATGTCTCACATCCTGATGCAAGAACTGGGCGCCCATAGCCTTGGGCAGCTCCACCCCTTTGGCTTTGCAGGGTACAGCCCCTCTCCTGGCTGCTTTCATGGGCTGGCATTGAGTGTCTTTTCTAGGTGTACAGCACAAGCTGTTAGTGTATCTACCATTCTGGGGTCTGGAGAACAGTGCCCCTCTTCTCACAGCTCCACTAGGCAGCACCCCATTGGGGACTCAGTGTGCAGGCTCCAACTCCACATTCCCCTTCTGCACTGCCATAGCAGAGGTTCTCCATGAAGGCCCTGCCCCTACAGCAAACTTCTTCTTGGACATTCAGGCATTTCCATACATCCAATGAAATTGAGACAGAAGTTTCCAAACCTTGGTTCTTGACTTCTGTGCACCCACAGGCTCAACACCATGTGGAAGCTGCCAAGCTGCACCCTCTGAAACCACAACCCGAGCTCTACCTTGGCCCCTTTTAGCCATGGCTGGAGCAGCTAGGATGTAGGTCACCAAGTCCCTAGGTTCCTCACAGCAATGGAGCCCTGGACCTGGCCCAGGAAACCATTTTTTCCTCCTAGGTCTCCAGTCCTGTGATGGGAGAGGCTTCCAGGAAGGTCTCTGACATGCCCTAGAGACTTTTCCCCATTGTCTTGGGTATTAACATTTGGCTCCTTGTTACTTGCACATTTCTGCAGCTGGCTTGAATTTCTCCTCAGAAAATGAGTTTTTCTTTTCTATCACATCATCAAGCTGCAAATTTTCCAAACTTTTATGCCCTGCTTTCCTTTTAAACATAACTTACAATTCCAAGCCATATCTTTGTGAATAAATAAAACTGAATGCTTTTAACAGCACCCAGGTCACCTCTTGAATGCTTTGCTGCTTAGAACTTTCTTCCACCAGATGCCCTAAATCATCTCTCTCAAGTTCAAAGTTCCACAAATCTCTAGGGCAGGGGCAAAATGCCACCAGTCTCCTTGCTAAAGCATAACAAGAGTCACCTTTGCTTCAATTCCTAACAAACCCCTCATCTCCATCTGAGACCACCTCAGCCTGTACTTTATTGTCCATATCACTTCAGCATTTTGGTCAAAGCCATCAACAAGCCTCTAGCAAGTTCCAAACTTTCCCATACTTTTCTGTCTTCTTCTGAGTCCTCGAAGCTGTTCCAACCTCTGCCTGTTACCCAGTTCCAAAGTAGCTTCCACATTTTCTGATGTCTTTACAGCAGCACTCCACTACCCAGTACCAATTTACTGTATTAATCTGTTCCCATGTTGCTAATGAAGACATACCCGAGAGTGGGTAATGTGTAAAGAAAAGAGGTTTAATTGATTCACAGTTCCACATGGCTGGGGAGGCCTCGCAGTCATGGTGTAAGGCAAAAACCACATCTTACATGGCAGCAGGCAAGAGGGCATGTGTAGGAGAACTCCCCTTTTTAAAACCATCAGATCTCATGAGACTTACTCACTATCATGAGAACAGCATGGGAAGAAACCCCCTCCCCATGATTCAATTACCTCCCACGGGGTTCCTCCAAGAACACAAGGGGATTATTACAATTCAAGGTGAGAGACTTGGGTGGGGACACAGAGCCGAACCAGCTCAGGAGGAACTACACAACAATAAAAACAACAGAAAACGTAACATGTAACCAATAGCAACTGAAATGTTTACGTTTTTGGTGATTATATCAACATCAAAGAAATGCAAATCAAAACCACAATAAGATGCCATCTCACACCAATCAGAATGGCTATTATTACAAAGTCAAAAAATAACAGATGTTGGCAAGGCTGCAGAGAAAAGGGAATACTTATATACTGTTTGTAGGAATGTAAACTAGTTCAGCCACTGTGGAAAGCAATTTGGAGATTTCTCAAAGAATTTAAAATAGAACTACCATTTGACCCAGCAATCTCATGACTGGGTATATACCCAAAGGACAATAAATAATTTTACACAAAAGAGACATGCACTTGTATGCTAATCACAGCACTATTCACAATAGCAAAAACGTGGAATCAACCTAGGTGTCCATCAATGGTGGATTGGATAAAGAAAATGTGGTACATATACGCCATGGAATACTATGTAGCCATAAAAAAGAATGACATTATGTCCTTTGTGGCAACATGGATGCAACTGGAGGCCATTATCCT